>NC_000004.12:133466835-133769865 GCF_000001405.40 Homo sapiens
AATGTGTTCTGCAAAATCCTGGCTCCCTGTTTTACTATTTAATGGTGAGGCTGTATCTCTTAACCTCTGTCTCTAACCTGAAAATTCTGAATCACTGTGATTGACGGAATTCTGTCTGTTGGTTGCATTCTTACACCCGAAATTTGCCTTCTGCTTTTTAGGAGAGTAAGAGGAATATTTTTAATCCTTTTGGCTGGAAGTAAGTTCTTATTTAGTACAAGAGGTGAAAATAATAACCTTGCTCTTACCTAACTTTATGTCATGTCCTTTCTAAAAAATGAAGTATCATACATCAATAATGATAGCTCTGGATTCTGTTATTTAATCACTTCATGTCCACTTTTATTTATTCATTTTTTGTAAATTACCCTTTAACACATTATTTTACCTGATCTTTATTTGATGTGTTAGAAAAAAAAATACACACACGCTCAAAAATATGTTTTTGTTTTGTTTTGTTATCTGTTGCCTCTATCTCCTATAAAACTATACCTTAAGCTAAAGTGTTCTGGAATTATTACCTCAGAGGCAGAACAATGTAGCCAGATACAGAGAATAGAGTCAAATTATACACTTCTAACTATCTAAGTGCTCTTGAAAAGCAGGGTTTTGATTTACAAGGAAAAATCTTTTTGAGAAAGAAAAGGTTTTAGAATTCAGAAGCCTGTTTTTGCATATCAAAAGCAAAACCCCAAAGGAATCAAGGCTTAGAGCCTCTGCCATTAAAAAAAAAAAGAAAGAAAGAAAGAAAGAGCCAATCTCCCACTTTCCTTACCAAGCAAAACTAGAAAGAACTTTGTAGACAAGGTGGAAAAAGAAATAAATTATTTCTCGATATATGTTTCAGAAAAATGGGCCAGGTGTATCAGTCACCCTCTGCTCAGGCAGCAGGGAGTGTTGCAAAACCCTCGACAGAGTTTGCTTTGGATAGAGTAGAGAGAACACTATCTCACTTGCCACTGATGCCCTAAAACATGATGAACCTTGTAGAAGAAATCTCCTGTAATCATTCTATGGGGGTAGTATAATTGCAATAATGTCAGAAAAGGTCTAGCTAGAGAAGGCCTGAAAAAGCTTCCAGTCTAGGTGACTCGAAAGAGCTCAGAGGGACTATTCAAACAGGAAGGTTACTATCTATCATCAAAACTGGGTAAACTTTGAGAATGAAAGAGTGCAGAATTAATCATTAATCCAACATAATCCAGTGGTCCAAGGCAACCTAGGGTAGATAGTCATTCACAAAGGAGCCTAAAAGTTCTGAGAGAAAGCCAGAGGACCCAGCATTAAGTCACAAAGTGCATGAAATAAAGTGTAAATGTGATGTTGTGACTATAGATAGGTCATTAGACGCCAGAGGAAATGAATAATGGTAATAAAGATCATGAAAGGAACATAAACATTTTGGAATATCCAGCAATTCCTATATACTAGGTAAGAGCAGGGAATATAGGAAAAAGACAAAGAAGCAAAGAGGGAAAATATATAAAAGGGTTTCAAGACTATTCATTGTCTGATATTAAGTTTTGAGCCAACATTTGTATGATGAGTTGAGACAGAATTTAAGTCATAAAAAAATAAAGTTTTGTCTTTATTTAACTGTGTTTTTGGCTTGAGGATAAATTGTATAAACTATGTCCATAAGCTAAACAGAACAGGAAGTGTTGTTTCCATTTCCACCTGAAAAAATTTTGGCTCAAAGATATTTACTGACCAACCCAAAATCTCAATGCATATAAAGTATGTTGTTACAACACAAAGTCATATCATCTGGTTATTTGTGCAATACTTATATTAATCTTTGTTTTTTTCCTGTCTTTGCTAATGTAGAGTTGTCCCTTAATCCATTCTCCAATAAATGTGTCTTCTTTTATTTCAGATTGGGAGGAAGATTTGGGGATCAGGAAGAATATTGTTTGTTGTGATCAGACTACTGCATAATTTTTTTGGTCTTTGTTTTTTTATAGTAGATAAGTCTAGAGTTCTACTTTCTATTTTTGATGTTTCTTTATAACTCTTATCACTGTCTATTAAAACCTAGTTATTTTCATATGTAGTTATTATCTACACTCTTCCTCACCATTAAAATGTAACTTCTATGAAAACAAAAAATTTATCTCTTTTGTTCACTTAATAACATCGTGACGAAAACATTGCCACACATATAGTATGCAATGAATCAGTATTTGTTTAAATCATTCACTAATGAAGAAGCAGTGAGCTTCATCAGGTATGACACCAGAATACACAGAAAGTTGACTGGTAAATTTTAACTTCCAATTTCATGAGTAGTATTAAATTAATTGTACTATATGTGAAACACATTATAATAGATATCTTCAGAAGGATCATTCTCAAACTCTATCATTTATCATGATCATTTGGTGAACTTGTTAAAAATGCAGATCCTCAAATCCCAACATTAAAGAGACTGCTTCAGTAGAGCTGTAGTACACTACACCAAATCATCATTTAATAAGTCATCATTTAATGAGTAACCTTAATAATATGGTGAAGTTGCCAATTCAATTCAGGCTCCAGAGTAATTACTCCAGTTTCACTAACTATTTTAGATTCTGATTTTGAACTCTAGTCTCAACTACATTCTTCCCTCATGGTAGACAAAGTTTTATAAATCAAAGAACCATGTAGTCAATCAAAATGGCTGAGTGTAATATTAAAGTTGTTAAATCAAGTTTAGCCTAAAGCTGCCTCCTTACATATTGAAGTTGGGCCTACAGGATTTTCTGTACATCAGGAACCAGAACAAGTGGAAGGGCAATCAGATCGTAGCCTACACTTGTGCTAATCACTGAGTTTTCATCAGATGTAGCCAACTGTTTGAACCGTGTTCAAATAACACAAATGCCAAGCTGTAGCCAATCCAGGAGTTTCTGTACCTCACTTCTATTTTCTGTACACCACTTTCCTTTTTCTGTCCATAAATGTTCTTTCATCATGTGGCTGCACTGGAGTCTCTGAGCCTTCTCTGGCTCGGGAAGCTGCCCAATTCGCAAATCGTTCATTGCTCAATTAAACACCTTCAAATTTAATTGGGCTGAAGTATTTCTTTCACCAAAGTCTATTCAGTAATCTTTGGTGACAACATATTTTTAAATCTTAAGTTCTACTGTAAACTCATTTCTGTTTTTCTACTTGAAAAATTTTATGTAAAGCGAGTTTGGTATACCTGGCAGCATTTTCTTCTCACTATTAAGTACCAATTTTTGTTAAGTTATACACTTATAAAATATGTACCTATTCATACTATATGGAAAAAATATAAAACGTGATATCATTTTGAAGAAAAAAGATGCATGTTCATGATTGTTCTTGCATATAGACTTGAACTTTCATTTTAAATGTGTACAAAAGGTAGGCTCATGAGATAGATTTAGAAATCTGCACATGTGAGTACTAGACATAGTACTCCAAAGAGGCACACTTGCAGACAAACTGGGATTACACTTTGGAAGATAACATATATTTATAGCAAAATATCATGTCTTTTGTGGGCAGACCCTCTTGTGGTAAATAATTATTGGCAGGAGCCTGAAATCTACTTGTTATTATAAAAAATAAACAAAAGGTAAGGGATGTCAATTTTGTGCATAAATAGAATGGCATTAAAACAATTTGAATACTTTGTTCACTGACAATGGGAATACACTTTTTAGTGGATATTTTGATGACTGTGTTTGATACAATGTTTGCAAATAAAATAAGTTAAAATATGATTTGTTTGTTCTTGCCTACAGAAACATTTACCTTAGGGTCATGGAAAATTTACTATGCCATTCCTGTTGTCTCTATATTGAGGGATGGTAGAAATACATTAGAGTAATTACAAAACCTGTGGTCTGCAATCATTTCTTGGAAGGACATACAGTAATGAGGTCTGAACTCTAGCTACAGTATGTCTTACATGTCCTTGTTGAATGTAATCCAACAAATATTTAGTGTCTAAAAACATTAGAAGTGTATTGTTTGTCCTCATTAAATCCAGTAGAAGAATTTTTTACACAGTAGGCATCTCATACCTGCTATACACTACCAATACCCAAATCTTCTGCTCAGACCTCATGTATTCAATTCCCTGTGAGACTCACATATCCAACTGAAATAAACTTCTAATGGCCTGTTTTGAAGTCCATTATTGAAAAATGATGCAAATCTTTATATTTTTTTCTTTGAAAGTTTGAGTTCATCTGTCACTGGTACTTAGCATTTAAAGGCAATTGGCAGATAAAATAATGATGTGGAGTGATATGGTTTGGCTGTTTCCCCCACCCCAAATCTCATCTTGAATTGCAGTCCCCATAATCCCTACCTGTCAAGAGAGAGACCAGGTGGAGGTAATTGAATCATGGGTCTGGTTTCCCCCATGGTATTCTCATGATAGTGAGTGAGTTCACGAGATCTGATGGTTTTATAAGTATTTGGTAGTTCCTCCTGCATTCATTCTCCTTCCGGCCACCTTGTGAAGAAGGTGCCTTGCTTTCTCTTTGCCTCCCTCCATGATTGTAAGTTTCTGAGACCTCCCTAGCCACGCTGAACTGTGAGTCAATTAAACCTCTTAGGAAAGAGGTTTCATAAATTACCCAGTCTCAGGTAGTATTTTTATAGCAGTGGGAGATCAGACTAATGTATGGAGGTTGTGTGGAACAGGTTATGAGGAAAAGCAATTTGGAGAAATGGTGTTCAGTTACTTTTATGAAAAATATATCACAGAAAATTGAAAAAAAAAGACCAAAATTAATCAAAAATGTCTGATATTAAATCTGGTTAAACAAGACTAAAGTAGTAAGTGCAGTAATACAAACTCTGATATAATATTTTGAAGCTTGCAAGTATCTAGGAAACATCCTGATCTAGCACTCAAAATAGAAAAATTATTTTGCCTAAGTCATGTGAAATAGGTATCATGAACAGGAAACATTTAAATTTGTAAATTTAATTTCTCTTGGATTGTATTATACTGAAAGGACTTGATAACATCCAAGAGAGGTGAATTATCGAGTTATTAATGATTTGTATGACACACATTTAATTAACTGAATTAATAATGAACAGTGACATTATAGAAGCTATCCAATTCATTTACTACATAATAACATGCTGGTTAATGCTTAAGAAAAGTGGCCAGTCATTATCAATGTATCACTGTGCATTGTGCTAACATTAATCAGATCAAATTAATGTAGTGTTACTTTTAACTTAAGCAGGAATTAATGAACACTTCATCATTTCAAAATTTTGCCATGACATATCAAAATATCAAATGCTTAACTTAATGTTTAGCATAAAAAGCTCCATTTGATACTCATGTTAATAAGAACTTTGTTTGTTTTTAATTACAGGTATAATTAAAAACTGGGATTATAAATACTTTTTAAAAATTATTTAAATGTATAACAGGACCACCTACAAAATTGTATTTGTGAGGAATAATGATGCATTTAAAGCTATGGAAATTATTTTTCACACTCTACTTTTAGCCAGTAGATCAGTTCATTTCTATTAAGAGACAGAAATATGACTTCATATTAATGATGGAATCAAAACAGATGGAGCTATCTAATGGTTCAGGCAGGAAATTGAAGTAGGAATTATAGCTTCTTACCCTTATATCTACCACTGATTCACTGAATGACCTTGGGCAAATTACTTAAGCTGCCAGGTCAAATTTTCTAAGTGCACATCTTCGTTTTTTTATGCCCAGAGCTCATATTAACAGAAAAGGAAACTCTAAAGATATAGAAAAAGGAAATGATATAATATAGAGTGGAGGAAAAAGCTTTTGGCATGAGTGAGATTAAGTGGCTTACCCAAAGTTTCACAGTTAGCATGAGGACTACTGGGGATTCAAATTCAAGTCTGTGACTCATTGGATCTCACTTTTTAAGCCTTTAATCTCAGTATAATAATAGCTGCCTTAAATATTGGCTATAATATTACACATTTAGATTTTGCCTGGCAAATTATAGATACCTAAAAAAAATTTTTTTTTAGTCTCTTTGTCAATACCAAATGCTGCTACCAATTTTTATTCTTAAAATAGCTCATCAATGTATGTGTTTATTTGATCTAGACTCCACTGTCATAATTCTCGTACCTAGCATTTCTTATCTAGGCAGTCATCAATATAAAAATTGTCCTCAGTGACTTCTTTGATTTCCCACATTTATTTCAGCTTTCAAGCTTTCTAAAACATATAGAAGATATTTAGGACCATTGGAATTGTGTGATACCATATAGAAAACAAAGAGGGCAATGACAGAGCTCTTTATAACATGAATATTTACCAGTCATGCAAAAGAAGAGCCTGAAAAGGAGAGTGAAACATTCTTGTCTCTTCTTCTCTGTCTTCTTACAGCCCAAATTCATTAAATTAACACAGCACAGTGATTCTACCTCATAGATATTAGAATCTATAGGTAGAATCTATATAATATAAATAAAATAAATAAAAATATAAATTTTTTTTCATGGGGGACAGTGTTTTCACTCGGTTGCCCAGGTCGGAGTATAGTGTTGCAGTCTCAGCTCACTGCAACCTCGACCTCACAGGCTCAAGCAATCCTCCTGCCTCAGCCTCCTGGGCCTCCTTTTGCAGCCTCCTTGTAGCTGGGACTACAAGCATGCACCACCGTGCCCAGCTATTTTTGCTTATTTTTTGTAGAAACAGGGTTTCACTCTGTTGCCCAGGCTGGTCTTGAACTCCTCGGCTCAAGGAATCTTTTCCCCTTGGCCTCCTGAAGTTCTGGGATTACAGACATGAGCCACATTTTATGTATTATTTGAATCAGTCTGTAACTTTCCATCCAAACAGACATTTCTTTATTTCAGGCTTATAATATTTCTTAAGAACTTTTGATTAATTTTCTCATGTCTCATGTTCCCTCCTCAAGTTCATTCTCCATATCACCTACATGATAGGTCCCGGTGATCCTGTTAGCCTCAATTTTAATTTAGCTTATTAATCTCAAACAAGTCTGAACTTCTATCTTGACCACACGTAACATCTATAGATCCATGCTTATGCTTTCTCCTCTGTTGGACTAGCCACCCTTTAAAACTGGCCTTGAGTTTCACTTCCAGAAAGCCTTTACACTTTGTTCATACCAATTATTGGTGGCACCCTTCTGCGTTCCCATTTTACAATAGGTGTATATTACTACAGTCACATTTATTCTACTGCTTTATGAGTTTTAATCTACCTTTTTCTACCAAATTTTGTTGTTTTTAAGACAATGCTCTAGCCGAGCACGGTGACTCATGCCTGTAATCCCAGCACTTTGGGAGGCTGAGGTGGGCGGATCTGAGGTCAAGAGTTCGAGACCAGCATGACCAACATGGAGAAACCCAGTCTCTACTAAAAAAATACAAAATTAGCTGGGCATGGTGGCACATGCCTGTAATCCCAGCTGCTCGGGAGGCTGAGGTAGGAGAATCGCTTGAACCCGGGAGGCGGAGGTTGCAGTGAGCTGAGATCGCGCCATTGCGCTCCAGCCCGGGCAACAAGAGCGAAACTCTGTCTCAAAAAAAAAAAAAAAACAAAAAAACAAAAAAAACTCTATATAACGTTTTATAATTTTAAGGAAAATTTGCCCCAGATGAAGGTAAACGGGAGAGGAAGACTTTATTCAAGATTGGACCCAATTCCACTGCAACAAAAACATGGGAGATTTTATATGCACTGGGACTTGCTAGTTAAAAAATACTGGAGGATGTTGAAGAGGAGCTTGATCAATTAGGCAATCTGTTAACTGACATTGGTGCTTATAGGAGTCAGGCGCCTATGCTCCCACAGAGACTGGGAGATAAGCGCCCTGTCTTCCTTAATAACTCTATATCAAAGGGATGCTTCCCTAGCCTTTGAGAAAATACTCTGGGTTGTAAAACTGGCAGGAGGCTGGGAGATTTACATCTCAAAGAGGTAGAGAAAGAATTTACAACTGCAAGTTTTTGAAAGTAAATGCTGTAAGAAAAGGGAGGTCAGGGGAGTATCACCAGGCAAAAAAAAAAAATGTCTAAAATTTAGTCAAGTTGAGGGGAATGAGAAGGCCATTTTCGTCAACATTTGTATTCACAGCTCCTGAGACATGTTAAATACTCTGTAAATTTTATTTTGCTATGTCCTACAAAGTTTGACAGGATGTCTGGAACAAATTTTTCCTTTAAAAATCTCATGATTATTGTTGTCTAATTACAGATACACTTGAGCATCAGATGCTGGTCAGAATATGTATTTTTTCTTTGCTTTGTTTTCTTATTTGCATGCTGATGAAGTTTGCACACCTTCACTTTTTCTTTCCTGCCTTCTCTGTAAGTTCTGCCTCCTAACTGCCCTTACCTCTGGCTTACAAGAGAGATCCAAGAATTTCTTGTATTCAAGTGCCATCCTGGCAGGTCAAGAGAAATTCTCATATTATATTAAGTAAAGTCTCTTATTGAAAAAAAAAATGCTGCTGTCATGCTAATATTGATCACCACTCATGGTCTAAATGTGATGCCATACTACATTAAGTATGTGTGCATACACATATGTGCAGGTGCATCCACAGACACATATTTACACAGTGCATACCAGAGGTAAATCTGGGACAAGAGGAGAGAAAAGGAAATGTCCTATCCTGTCACATACATAAATGTTGACTAAAGGAATAAGTCAGTATCGATTTTCAACTATTTCATGATTGCCTATAACTTTAGCTTGTAAACACTCTATTCAATACATAACTTTTCCATAGATATATGCATACTACTTCAATGCCAAAAGCGCTAATCCTCTGAAAATTTTCATAGAAAGGACAGAATCATTGCACATTTCTTCTAAATGGTTTCTATGTAACTGGTAAAAATTCTGTCAGCTACAGACATAAACTCAAAGAATTATTCCTTTAAGAATAGTAGTACTATTATTTATACAAAGAAGAAAAGATAGAGCTATGTTTATACATTTAAATTTCTAAACATTTATTTTATGTAGAAACCCTGGTTCTACAAATTGTGTAAGGGGCTTTAGTTTCAACTTAGCCCTGCAAAGGCCTGGAAATTATCACTCCCAATCTTACAACAAGAAAAAAAAAATACTGAACAAACTAAAGATCAGCATCTTGTCCTGAAAACAGAAGTTACAGGGCAAACCATCCCTCTGAAATCTAGAGAGAAAAAAAGAATTCAGAGTCACAGTTAAGAATGGCTTACGTACAGAGGCTACTGGGAACATAAACTGGTAGGAGCACTTAAATTGTAATTTTGAAAGATAGCTGGAAACTGTATGTAGACAGTGTGAGAGTTATAAACTCCTGGAGCCACAGTTTTATGGCAGGACCTCAATTTCATGAGTTTTGCCTACAGGAACACTACCATGTTATCATGGTGAAAATAGAATAAAGATCCCCTCCTGCTTCTGTACGTGGGAGGGGAAGAGCAGTCATTGTGAAGTATGCCCATGCATTTACCCTAACAAAGACTTGCTGTTTGTCTCTTTAACCTCCTCTACCTTTCTTTCTTATATCATTCTTATATCATCTGAGGAAGGGAAGCTAAGAAACACTTGTGAGTTTACAGTACAGGGACATAGGTCCACCAAAAAAACTAAGATTTAATTATATAATTTTAGAATGCTCCTGCTTCCTCAATTCTTACCACCACACCAACAAGCTTTCATTGTAATAACAGTGAATTATAGCTGAAAAAGCTGCAAGACACACATTCTCTCTAAAGAGATATACAAACTCAAAATCAATGGATAAGGCAACAAGAACACTAGGGGAATTTGAAGCCTCCAATAACTACATCTACAGCAATATAAAACATGTTCAACTCTTTGCCAGATTAACTTAAAACTTCATTTAAAAACTAAAGCCCTGTATACTCAATTTCCTATTACCTAACTCATCTTGTATAACTAACAACAACAACAACGACAACAACAACAACAATCACAAGCCATGCTAAAAGGCAAGAAAATAAACAGTCTGAATAGAAAAAGCATGCATCAAAAGCTGACTCAGATATGGCAGAGATTTTGGTTATTGGGCAGGGTTTAAAATGATTTAAACCCTATGATTATGTTAAGGGCTCTCCTGGAAACAGTAGACAGCACATAAGGAAAGATGGATAATGTAAACAGAGAGATGAAACTTTTAAGAAAGAATCAAAAGGAAATGCTAGAAATGAAAGAATCCGTGATAGAAATGAAGAATGTCTTTGATGGGCATTACACCAGTAGACTGGAAACAGATTAAAAAAAAAAAAAGGCAGTGAGCTTAATGATAGGTGAACAGAAATTTCCCAAACTAAAATCTAAGTTTATGTGTGTGTGTGTGTGTATAATTATATATATGCACATTATATATATATACATATATATATATATATATAGAGAGAGAGAGAGAAATTTCAAACCAAACATCCAAGAACTATGAGACAATTTCAAAAGGCATATCACATGTGCAATTGGAATACCATAGTAGAAGAAAGACAGGAAAGTAGAAATATTGATATATTCATGGCTAAGAACATCCCCAAATTGGTGATACATACCAAACCAGAAATCCAGGAAGCTCAGATAATATCAATTAGGATAATACCAACAAAAGTATACTTATATTTAAACTGTAGAAAACCAAAAGTAAAAGAAACTTTAAAGAAGGCGGGTGCAGGATGAAGAGCCTGACCTACAGAGAAACAAGAATGAGTGGCCTTCTCACTGGAAACCATGAAAGCAAGAAGATAGTGCAGTATATTTTAAGTGTTTTAATAGAAAATACACACCAACCTAGAATTTTATATTTAGTGAAATTACCCTTCAAAACTGAAAGAGAAATAAGTACTTTCTCAGACAAACAAAAAGTAAGGAAATACATCACCATCAGACCTGCCCTATGATAAATGTCGAAAAAAAATTATTCAGTGAGAAGGAAAATGACATAGGTGAGACATGGACTTACATAAATAAATAAAGACCATCAAGAGAAGGAACAAATGATATCTGAAAGGGTAAAAAAAAAAACCTATTTTCCCTTTGAAATATCTTATATGAATGACGGTAAATGACTGCCAGTCATGAAAGAGCTAGTAGTTCAACCTTTTACCACAGAACAAGGCAAAACAGTAGACTAAATCTGCTTGTCAAAACAGATAGTATTTACACTCAACACGTGTCTATTTACAAGAATTGTACTAAGGTAGTGCTATAGGTGTGATTACTGACAGTGGACTTTTACAATTTGAGATCACAATGGAAACACATGAAATGTACATAATATCAATGAAACATATACTTAAAAAGATCCCTAAACAAGGTAAAATTTCACAGCAGTAGAAAGCAGAATTTAGTGCATAAATGAGTGGTTAGAAAATAAAAGTAGGGAAAAGATGCTTATAATCAGGTAGGCCACTTGAAGGAAATGAAATTCTCTATGATCAATTTCAGAACTTAAATAATAAAGCAAAAGTGATAGACAAATGATGAATGAGAAACCAGGCAGAGTGATAGTTATCACATTGTTTAAATGGTTTGTGAATCTACAGATTCTTTCTTCTCATCCAATTTACAAATATAGATAATTTTTTATAACAGTATACAGGTGATCCTTGAACAACACAGGCTTGCCCTGTGCAAGTTCACTTATAGGTAGATTTTCTTCCACTTTTGACACTCCTGAGACAGCAAAACCAATCCCTCCTCTTCCTTCTCCTCAGCATATTCTATGTGAGGACAGTGAGGAAGAAGACCTTTATGATAATCCATTTTCACTTAATGAATAGTAAATATATTTTCTTTACCTTATACTTTTCTTACTAACATTTTCTGTTCTCTAGCTTACTATACTCTATGAATACAGGATATGATACATATACAAAATATGCATTAATTAACTCTTTATGTTATTGGTAAGGCTTCCAGACAAAAGTAGGCTATTAGTAGTTAAGTTTTGGGGAGGCAAAAAGTTGTACATGGATTTTAAAATTATTTTTAAATTTTAGATTCAGAGGCCAGGCACAGTGGCTCACACCTTTAATCCTATCACTTTGGGAGGCCAAGGCTGGCGGATTGCTTAATCCTAGGAGTTGAGACCAGCCTGTGCAACATGGTAAAACCTCACCACTACAAAAAAAAAAAAAAATGCAAAAATTAGTAGGGTTTGGTGTGGTGATATGGGCCTGTACTCCCAGCTACTTGGGAGGCTGAGTTGGGAGGATTGTTTGAGCCTTGGAGGTTGAGGATGTAGTGAGCTGTGATTGAGCCACTGCACTCCAGCCTGGGTGACACAGCAAGACCCTGTCTCTAAAGGAAAAAAAAAAAAAGGATTCAGGGAGGTACTTGGGCAGGTTTGTTACATAGATATATTGCCTAATGGCAAGCATTGGGCTTCTAGTATACCGATCACCTAAATAATGAACACTGTACTCAATAGGCAATTTTTTAACCCTCATTCCCCAACCACCCACCATCTTTTGGCATCCCCATTGTCTATCATCTCCATTTTTATGACTATGTGTAAGCAAAGTTTAGCTCTCATTTGTAAATGGGAACATACAGTATTTGATGTTCTGTTTCTGAGTTATTTCACTTAAGAGAATGGGCTGCAGCTCCAACCATGTTGCTGCAAATAACATGACTTCATATTTTTGTGGCTGCATAGTAGTCCATTTTGTTTATATATCATATTATCTTAATCCATTCAACTATTCCTGGACTTTTAGGTTGACTTCACAACTTTGCTATTGTGAATAGTGCTGTGATAAACATAACAGTGTAGGTGTCCTTTTTATGTAGTGATTGACTTTCCTTTGGGTAGATGCCCAGTAGTGGGATTGCTGGGTCAAATAGTAGTTCTACTTTTGGTCCTTAGAGAAATATCCATACTGTTTTCCCTAGAGGTTTTACTAATTTACATTCCCACCCACAGTGTATAAGAGTTCCTTGTTCTCTGCATCCATGCACCAACACCTATTGTTTTTCGACTTTTTAGTAATAGCCATTCTGACTGGTATAGAACAATAACTCACTGTGGTTTTAATTTCCACTTAATTGATGATAACGAATGTTGGGAGCATTTTTTCATACATTTGTTGGACACCTGTATGTCTTCTTTTAGAAAACGTCTGTTCATGCCTTTTACCCACTATTTAATGGGACTGTTTATTTCTTCTGGAGTTGAGTTCATTGTAGATTCTGGATATTAGTCCTTTCTTGGAGGTATAATTTGTAATGATTTTTTCTTATTCTGTAAGCTGTCTACTCTGTTGATTATTTCTTTCGCTGTGCAGAAGCTTTTTAGTTTAATTAAGTCCTATCTATTTTTGTTTGTGTTGCATTTGCTTTTGACATCTTTGTCATAAATTCTTTGCTTAGGTCAGTGTCCAGAAGAGTTTTTTTCTATGTTTTCTTCTAGAAATTCTATAGTTTCAGGTCTTACATGTAAGTCTTTAATTCACTTGAGTTAATTTTTTGATATGGTGAGAGAAATTTGTCCAGTTTCATTCTTCTGCATGTGGCTAGTTTTCCTATGACTACTTATTGAATAGGGTATCCTTTCCCAATTATTTACTTTTATTGACTTTATCAAAAATTGGTGGTTGTAGGTATGTAGCTTTATTTCTGTGTTCTCTCCTTGGCTTTATTGATCTGTATGTCCATTTTTATACCAGTACCATGTTGTTTTGGTTCCTATACACTTGAATTATAATTTGAAGCCAAGTAATGTGCTGCCTTTGGCTTTGTTCTTTCTTCTTAGCCTTGTTTTGGCTCTTTTTTGGTGTTACATGAACTTAAAAATTCTTTTTTTTAATTGTATGAAAAATGACATTGGTATTTTGAAAGTAACCATGTGAATCGACAAAATAAAAAGTTGATTCTTTGTATGTGGATTTTTGACTACACAGAGAGTTTGCTCTCTTAACCCCAAGTTGTTCAAAGGTCCACTGTATTCCGAAAATTATATTGTATGCTTAATTTATGAAAAAAAGAAGGGACAAACAACAAACATTGAGTTTTTATTTCCAATTTAAGATGTAGAGATAATTTCTAGTTTTATTACTTGTTTATTTCAACATTATTTTTCCATAAAAGAATGAAGAGAGAAGGACTAACCCATTTAATATTTTGTGGAAGGTCCTACAGCTTGAAATCTTGAAATAGAAAATTTTAAAAGAGCATAAGAAAAATGCAAATGCATGTTCTTTAAATCAATAACTAAAATAGATAAAACACTCATGAACCTAATGATAGAAAAAAAAGGAGAATAGATAAAATTAGAAAACAGGAAGTAGAGGCAAACTAAAAGAAAAGAAAATCCAGAAACTGTAAGAGAAAACTACCTGTAACCTCAATAAAAAATAATTTAAAACCTAAAGAAATGAAAACTTTTTAAACCCAAATATGAATTGCCAAAATTTCATTAAGAAGAAATGAAAAAGCATGACATTCCAATTATCATAAGAAAAAATAAATAAGGTTTAAAGTGAAATATTATTTTTAAAAAAGTTCACAGTTGAATCTAATCTACCATTTCTAGAATATTGTTTCAATTCTCTAAATCATAGGAAACATATAAGAAGATGGAAAGTTTTTTATGGAAAGTTTTTTAGTTTGTTTCATGAAGCCAGCATTATATGTTTACATCAGTTAAGGAGAAAAAGGCATTTAATAAAACTGAAATGTCATTTTTAACAAAAGAACTAAACAAAATAAGAACAAATGCTATTTAAATCTAATAAAGTCTAACAAAATTGAACAGCAAATACCATTTTAAATAGAGAAACACTAAAATAATTAGGTTAAAACAATAATGTCCTTTATCATCATTGATATTACTACTCTTTGGAGGTTCTAATAAATGCTATAAATAAATAAAACAAATGATTGGCTAAATTATCAGAAAAAAATAGAATAAACTATCTTTCTCTGTTGCTGATAGGATTTTATGCTTTGAAAGCCCAAATATGCTACTTTAAGAATTCTAATTAATAATAGAATTCTGTGTGAGCATTTGGATCCAATACCTTTTCTCCATAACCATTAAGCACATAGAAATATAAATAGAAAAAAAAGTTCCACTAAAAATAGAGACCAAAAAAAGTATGTATATTAGACGCAAATGACTTTTTAAAAAGGGACAGCATTAATATGAAGAAAAATACAGTATTTGTTGAAAACCTTAAAACATGATCTTAGCCAACGGGAAGACAAAATATTCTTTATCCTTCCTGAATAAAAATCCAAAATAAGAAAAATCTTAGTTGTACCAAAATAAATATATAAATTTAATACAATTCAATTTATTGGATCTGAAAAAGTACCTGAAAGTTGAAATATACATATAAAAATTCTAACAGAACCATATGAAAAATATGAACAGCAAGGTAGTACTTTATAGAAATCAGATAATAGAATAGAGAAACAAAATAGATCATTACTGTTTTTATTACTTAAAATATAACACATTTATTTTAATTCAGTGTGAAACATATTTAACATATGTAGATAGATCAAAATTCACTAGGAAGAAAATAAAATTGGATCAATATTTTACATCATATCCAAAAATAGATTCCATAAAAAGTTTTAATTAGGGCAGTATTAGTTGTTAGTTGTCTTGGTGGCATATCTACCAATTAGTGTAGACTGGATTAACGAATATGCCAAGATTTCTGAATAATATATCATTTTTATAAAGAGTGACTAAACCTTTCTCCCCAGCACTACATAACTATGTCTGTGGGTGAGTGTAGGTGTGGGTATGTGGGAGTATACAAATACACATTTGGAAAAGGAACGCCAAACAAAAGAGAAAAGTAACGAAACATGGGCCCTCTTTCTCATTAAAATACTAGTTTATGAAATAAGTTATACATAAATATTAACATATAATTATATGTATGTTTTAAAAATATGTGCTTTCAGATCACATTGGCAGTTGTGTTTGTATAATCAATATCATCTTTTAACTTTTTGGTATTACGTATTATTTTACATGCCTGGTCTCCTTTTCCTATAGTTCTGCTGCATCTGGTATATGTTGTCAGCATCCTGTTTACCTTTTATAGTGGTTGTATTCTATACAGATAATTAGTTATTGACCTTGACCTTCTCTTCTCTGGAGTTTGGATTTATCGTATCTGGTAATGTGTGTATAGAGAGGAGCAAAGTCGAGGCCCTGCCCATATCCCTCCTGGTGAGTGAGAGAAGGACACGATGGGCTCTGGCATGGAAAAACACAGGCATCTCAGAACCATCACTGTGTATCCTTGTATGCTACCCCTCCACCAACTACTTCTCTCTTCAAAATTGATTTTCAAAGTTTCCAAAAGGAGCAGTGTGTAAGGAGAAAATGACTTTTAGAATACCACCTGCCAGCCCTGAGAGTTTAAAGAGATAATTTAGAGAAAAGGATGGCTAAGACAACTGGTCAACCTGTGTTTCCATTCATCATCTTACCACAGCAGTGTTTAGAATTGCCATGGTATCACCCCACCGGCACCTAGTGATCTGCAGGTTGATACTATTTTAAATCCCATAGTTAGCATGGGAACAGACAGTGACTCTTCAGGTCAATGAGAGGATGAGATAAAGATAGAGTTAAAAATCACTTCCTCAACCCATCTTCTCCAAAAAAATGCACAAACTAGTTCCTAACCGCCTGGAGTTTCCCTAGGATTTGGTCATTGTGTGTTTATGGTTTGTTTTATACATCTCTTGAACCACAGTTATCCATTTTAGTGTTATATTTTTCTGAGGTTAATTTTGCTTTTCTGATCATGAATATCCATTGATATGGTTTGGCTCTGTGTCACCACCCAAATCTCATCTTGAATTGTAATCCCCATAAACCCCACATATGGAGGGAGGAGCCAGGTGGGAACTGATTGTATCATGGGAGCCGTTTCCCTCATGCTGTTCCCATGATAGTGAGTTCTCACAAGATCTGATGGTTGTGTAAGGCAGTTTTCCCTGCTCTTGCTTGCTTCTCTCTTCTGCCACCATGTGGAGAAATTCCTTGCTTCTCTTTCACCTTCTTCCATAATTGTATGTTCCTGAGGCTTCCTCAGCTATGTGGAATTGTGGGTCAATTAAACCTCTTTCCTTTATAAATTACCCAGTCTCATGTATTTCTTTATTGCAGTATGAAAACGGACTAACACATCCATTATTTCATTATCAGCATTAAGTATTTTGAATAATGGTATAATTTTGGAACACAGAAAATGTCTTGGTCACTTGCTTGAAAAAAGTTGCATGTGTATACGTCCTCTATTATAATTATGGATGTGTGTGTGTTTTTGAGTGCAGGACATTATTTGATGTTTTGCATAATATCGTTAGTTGCAAAATACTAGTATTTGATGTTTTGCATATCAGTGAACTTAGGTTGTAATCTGAGGCAGCTTTTGTTTTTACTTTTCTTGGATTTTGCATTTCTAGCATTTTCCGTTTGCTTGTCCCATGCTGATGCACTTCACTGGAGCTGGCTGTATGTAGTTTTTTACTCTGAGCTGCCCAATTGATGTACTTCCTGCTGATATTACTCTGTTGTCAGAAATCTCACATTAGCTTACTAACCACTAGAGTACTGGCCTTTGGCTGTATTGTCTGTAGAGATGCCAGGTGGCCATGCAATCGGCATTAATGTGTGATATAGTCCATTAGCCTCGAGTCTTTCTGAGGTTAGCTGAATGTTCCAGGCAGACTTTAAACAAAACACATTTATTGACTGAGTGCAGAACTTTATTGCCTGAATCACTGTTGAACTGCCCTTGAACATTTTTATTTGTTAATGTACTTACTCATTTTTACTCTTTACATACTGTTGATTTCAGCATATTTTATAATCTGTGAATATTATATTTGGTTACATAGTATTCTCACTTGTAAAATATTCTATATTAAATCAGGAATCATTACATGTGCTTCCTATTTTCTTTTGATGTAGAACTACAGGAATTTAAGAAATTATAGAAAATTTAACTATACTCACAAAGAGAAGTGAAATGCAAACAGAATAATCATCTATATTATTTAGCTGAAGGCCTCTAAATTTCAGGCAGAATATTTGGGGTAGGAAATAATATGAATGTAGTAAATTGGTACACCACATTAATATATAGATGTAATAATGTTTACTTAATAATTTTAAGAAGATTGTGGAATTGGTCTTTAGTAATATGATTTTCCAAATTCCTTTTAAAAAAATTTACATTTATGAGTCTCTGAAAAGCTTCCTATTTTCTGTAATTCTATTGCCTCTTGGTATAAACATGTGTTTAAATCTATAGTTACATTTCATGTGTCATATATTTTCTATGTTCACAGAGAGAGATTCTGTTTTTTATGTAGATGATGACTTTAAGAAAAATTAAACACAATCTTATAGGATCTTCTGGGATAATGATTGCTGACTACTGATAATCTAAAAACCAGATCCTCAAGGAGAAAAATATAAAACCATATGAGCTAAAACTCAATCCAGTTCTATAGCAAAATTCAAACAAAAATCAATGAGTACTACAAATTCTTTCTATGTAAGTGGGGAAAAATTTTACACCATAAGATCCATCCCTGAAACCCATGAAAAATATGGTGGAGACTATACGGCAAAGAAAACTTTTATCAAGACCCTAAACATTTTGAAATACAGATAAAATTACCTTCAAAGTCAGAGCATCTCACTCTACATGAGAAAATACTGAGAACAGGGCTGACACGAGGTGGATTTTAAAATGGGATGCTGGAAAACCAAATGAGAGGAACTTAAGAGGATGCAGGACCTGAGGAGGCAACCTTAGGGGGACCACTTCCAAGAGAAAGAAAGTGATTTGGAGGGGACATACAACCTTTGTGGCTAGGTTGCAAGGTAGAAAAAAAATATGTAAGATACGTCCAGGGATAAGGGGACAAAAACTAATCACTCTCTGAAATCAATAAAGAATCACAATAATTATTTTTAAAAACTCTCTTCACTAAAAAGGTGAAAATGATTAATGAAAGTGCAGCAGCCAATATTAAGAAACAAAGTTACTCTCAAAATATGAAGCCAACTCAGACACCCAAAACTATTAACCCTGCCTGCTTAGAATCACTTCTTATTGTTCAGTATCTGCAAATAAACAGAAAATTTCTGACAAAACCTCTATAAAACACAAGAAGAAAAGAGAAAATGACAATAAACATTTCTGTGATAAAAATCATCCTGATACCATTACACACACACAAAGCAATATGAAGCAAAGGAAAAGCCCAACAGAATGCCTCAAACAATCCTTAAAGAAGTATTTGTAGAAATAAGTTAAATTGCATTGCATCCAGAATTAGGCACAGAAAATAAAAAATGATAGAAATGAGAAATATATCACAAATGATATATCAGGTAAAAATGAAAGTAAAGAAAAAATAAATTGAGAAATGATTACAAATTTGCTCAAGTGAGAATAATTTTCATTAAAGCATTATACAGTTTATTAAAGCCAATATTTAAAACATAATAAAGTGCAATAAATTACATATTGATGAACATGCCTTAATGAACAAAAATAAAAATAAAATAAAATTTAAAAATTTAATAAAGAAGTAAAATGATGTTCATAGAGAAACTGATAGAGGTAAAAGAACAAAAAGATACAACATTCATATATTTATTAAAGTTTCTGAAGAGTTAAAACAAAAAAGAAACCGAACTAATTGTTAATAATTCAAGAAATTTTCCCCAAATAAAAGAGAAGTTGAATTTATATATTGACAGTAATCGTATACACCTGGCAAACTTTTTCACAACAGTCAATTTCTTGGCACACCCAAATAAAATTAATGGACTTTAATATGAAAAAAAAAATTCCTCTGATTGTGTTGTCAAACAAGTCACTTACCTGAGAGAGAATTGGTCTGGCATCAGATTTGTTCATAGCAATATAGAAAGAAGGGCAGGTTGAACAACATTTTCAAGAAACTCAATGAAAGAAAGTACAAGGCAGACATTTAATATCCAAACAGGCCACTTCACATATTAAGGCAAAATAAAACTTTTAAGTGTGCAAGAATTTAGGTAATTCTGTACTCATTAAGTCTTTCTTATGAATCTAGAAAAAGAGGACCGCCAACAACCAAGAAATTACTGGGAAAATGTAAGATAACTACTGGTGAACTGCGAACATATCTAAGACTCAAAAAGTAAGAAGACGGCCAACAAGGGAGTTAAATGAAATGTTTTATGTTCTACCATAGTACACAACTGGAAAAGATTAAAGAAGAGAATGAGCAAATAAAAGAGGGGAAATAAAATAATATCATTGACTGTCTTCTGGTTGCAAATAAAGATTATGTTTTAAAGCTCCCACAGCAAACAGTGCAGGCCTTAGCAAGAAAAGTGTGATCAAAAGACATTATAGGCCAGCACTTTGGGAGGCTGAGGCGGGCAGATCATGAGGTCAGGAGATCGAGACCATCCTGGCTAACACGGTGAAACCCCATCTGTACTAAAAATACAAAAAATTAGCCCGGCATGGTGGGGGGTGTTTGTAGTCCCAGCTACTCGGGAGGCTGAGGCAGGAGAATGGCGTCAACCAGGGAGGCAGAGCTTGCAGTGAGCCGAGATCACACCACTGCACTCCAGCCTGGGCGACAGAGCGAGACTCCATTTCAAAAAAAAAAAAAAAAAAAAAAGGCCGGGCGCGGTGGCTCACGCCTGTAATCCCAGCACTTTGGGAGGCAGAGGCGGGTGGATCACGAGGTTTGGAGATGGAGACCATCCTCGCTAACACGGTGAAACCCCGTCTCTACTAAAAATACGAAAAATTAGCCAGGTGTGGTGGCGGGCGCCTGTAGTCCCAGCTACTCCGGAGGCTGAGGCAGGAGAATGGCGTGAACCCGGGAGGCGGAGCTTGCAGTGAGCCGAGATCGCGCCCCTGCACTCCAGCCTGGGTGACAGAGAGAGACTCCGTCTCTCAAAAAAAAAAAAAAGAAAAAAAAAGACATTATAAAAGATATACAAGGTATAAAAATATAATTAGAGCAGAAATTGTAGCTTCCTGAAAACCAAAAGTAACACAAAAAGGAGCAAAGAAAATATACACATAAAAGAAAAATAGAAATAATAAATGCAAATGAAATATTATCAAGCTGAGTCCAAACAAATCGGCAATATCAATGTGTAAATTTAACTTAACTATTAGAAAAACAAAATGCATAGATTGTCACACAAAGTAAAATCCAGCTCCAAACTATATGTAAAAAACACACAAAGAATGATAAAATTAAGAAAGTCTTAAAAAGGAAGGCATGGACAAATGTATGTTAGAAAATGCAAATTATGAGAAAGCAGGGGTTGTGATCCTGATATTATTCAAGGTAGATTCTGGGATAAAGCTTAACATGTAGCAAATGACGACACTTTATAACAGTCTCAACTCTCAATGTAAGCAAAGCCGTTTTGAATATCTCTGCATCCAATAAGGCAGAAACCACCTAAAGTGGAAACTACAAAAAACAGAAGCAGCAATAGACTGAAATACACTATTATCACAGGACGTTAACACATCACTGAGTCAAGTGGGCAAAAAATAAGAGTATTATAATTTAATTTGTATGAATATATATCACACTTTCCAAGGTGATAATAAAGAATATACTCTCTCAAGCTTACATGGAACATCCAATGATCAAATATAAGGTAAAAAAACAAAATTTCAATGAGTTTCAAAATGCAGATGTAACACTGGTAGCACTTTCTGATTACAGTTCAAAAAACTAGAAATTAATATCAAATTAAAAAGGACAAAGTCATTTTACGTAGAAATTTAAAAATTCTTAATCTGTTCATAGCTGAAGGAGAATTAGAAACCAAAAAAAAAGAGAATTAGAAACCAAACACTTACAGTATTTATATTAAAACTGACAATTAAAACATGTGATATCAAAACATACAAGTTAAAGTTTAAGCCATGAGTTGAAGAAAAATCATAGCATTTTATTATCCATATAAACACATATTAATAAAAGTAAAATAAGAAAAATGAATGAAAAATATTCTCAAATAAAATAAGAAACAGTCAACCTAAATAGAACGTAAGTAGGGAAGTAATATAGGTAAAAGCAGAAATTAAGACTGCCAGGAAAAAATAAAGGCAGTAGCTAAGGAATACGTGTGTGTGTGTGTATTTATTTATAGTAGGTCTATGTAATATGCAAATCATTGCCAAATCTTTGAAAGCAAAACAGAAGAAACTAGAAATTTACAGAACAATACATGCTAAGGAAAAAATAAAATATATATAAAGAGAGTATATTAGTAATTTTATGACCACTTTGCATAACTATGAAAATGAACTTCAAATCTAGATAAACAATGTCTTGAGAAAATAACATTAACAAAAATTGATTACAGTAGAAGTGGTTTAAACAGGTAAATTTCTATGTAAGAAATAAAAAAAGGAAAGCTTAATTCTTTTCATTGAGACGGTAAAATGTTTACATCTAAACCTGTTGAAGACAATGCAATAAAAGAAAATTACAGACTGATCTCGCTGATAAATATGGATGCAAAACTTCTAAATAAATAGAATCTAGCAGAATATTAAAAATAATATACGATGACCAAGTGGAGTTTATTCCAGAAATTTTTGCATGGTTCAGTATTAGAAAATACATTCATGTATTTACCCGTTATAGTAGATCTAAGGAGAAAAATCATATTATCTCTAAAGATACAAAAAAACCTGTAAGTTTTATTAACATTATTAATATTAATTTACAAACATATATTGTACATATATACATACATATGTGGAGAGCTAGAGAGATAAAGTAGGATAATGGTAATAGTTGATAATTTTAGAGTAAAGAGCATGAGATTGATTATATTTCACACTTTCAACATTTCCGTTACTTTGAAATTTTAAAAAATTAGGGTGAATCCTACAAACATTTTCAAAAACCTCAGGCTAGATTCAACTCAATGGAAGGCAACTCTAACATAGCAGAGGCATTGCTTGTTTAATCTGTGTTCCCCAGAAAATTTCCAGGAAAAAGAAGTTTTTCTTTTAACATGTCAGTGAAAAATTCACAGAATCAAGACTATTGAGAAGCACTTTGGCTGAAACATTCTCAAAATGCATCAATCTTTCTGCATTTGGGTTGCTACAGATTATCTCAGTAAATTAAACTAGCCTCAGATGACGGATTTAACTGGCAAATCCAGCTAACAACCAGGAGTAAACATAATATTGAACATCAGTATGTTTCACAATCAAAACATGAAACACATGTCCCACACTAGGTTATGATGTTCCAAAAGTGGATAGGATTAAAGACATTTTTTAACTAAAAAGGAATTACAAATATAAAAGGTAAACTAACAAAATAGACACATGAAACAGAAGAATTACCCCATGGTCTGCTTTACATATATAATAACTCAGTATGTTGTAATGTCATAAAAGGAAATTATTTGTAATTTAAGTTAAATCATTTATCAATTTTTTCCTTGATTTTTATATGATTTCATATAATTTTGTGTAATTCAAATTTGTAAAATAAGAAGTGAGATTACAAACACTGAAATAATATCAGAACATAATATTCCTACTTTTATGTATAGGTTTACCATTTGTCTCTCATTATCTTTCTGTTTCTATTTATGCTTACTTCCCTACTGTATCTGTGTAGTTATCATTCTCTACATGAAGAGCCAACATTTGTATTACAATTAATAGAAACTTAAGTAATATACTTGGAGAAAAATGTGATTTATTCTTATTCGTCTAAAAGTAGAAAAGAAAAAGGAAAAGATGAGAAATTACATTGTCAGTGGGATAGAAAAGGGTCATGGGAGGGAAACTGGTCATACAAAATCCTGAGGACAGCTGATTAAATAAAATCTCTTCAGTTTAATCCATTGTCCTCCTATGCTCACTTTTAAGGATGAGAGAAATCGGTCTCTTGTTAGAAACCATTTGCCATGTGACATGGCTGGGTTTAAGTACTATTCTTTCACTCACGCGTTTTTAAGCTCACATATTGTCATTTTCTTAATAGTATTTTTATAATTTCTTTTTATTTTATTTTATTTTATTTTTTTATTATTATACTTTAAGTTTTAGGGTACATGTGTACAATGTGAAAGTTAGTTACATATGTATACATGTGACATGCTGGTGCACTGCACCCACTAACTCGTCATCTAGCATTAGGTATATCTCCCAATGCTATCACTGCCCCCTCCCCCCACCCCACAACAGTCCCCAGAGTGTGATATTCCCCTTCCTGTGTCCATGTGTTCTCATTGTTCAATTCCCACCTATGAGTGAGAATATGTGGTGTTTGGTTTTTTGTTCTTGCGATAGTTTACATAGAATGATGATTTCCAATTTCATCCATGTCCCTACAAAGGACATGAACTCATCATTTTTTATGGCTGCATAGTATTCCATGGTGTATATGTGCCACATTTTCTTAATCCAGTCTATCATTGCTGGACATTTGGGTTGGTTCCAAGTCTTTGCTATTGTGAATAGTGCTGCAATAAACATACGTGTGCATGTGTCTTTATAGCAGCATGATTTATAGTCCTTTGGGTATATACCCAGTAATGGGATGGCTGGGTCAAATGGTATTTCTAGTTCTAGATCCCTGAGGAACGGTCACACTGACTTCCACAATGGTTGAACTAGTTTATAGTCCCACCAACAGTGTAAAAGTGTTCCTATTTCCCCACATCCTCTCCAGCACCTGTTGTTTCCTGACTTTTTAATGATTGCCATTCTAACTGGTGTGAGATGATATCTCACCGTGGTTTTGATTTGCATTTCTCTGATGGCCAGTGATGGTGAGCATTTTTTCATGTGTTTTTTGGCTGCATAAATGTCTTCTTTTGAGAAGTGTCTGTTCATGTCCTTCGCCCACTTTTTGATGGGGTTGTTTGTTTTTTTCTTGTAAATTTGTTTGAGTTCATTGTAGATTCTGGATATTAGCCCTTTGTCAGATGAGTAGGTTGTGAAAATTTTCTCCCATTTTTTGGGTTGCCTGTTCACTCTGATGGTAGTTTCTTTTGCTGTGCAGAAGCTCTTTAGTTTAATTAGATCCCATTTGTCAATTTTGTCTTTTGTTGCCATTGCTTTTGGTGTTTTAGACATGAAGTCCTTGCCCATGCCTATGTCCTGAATGGTAATGCCTAGGTTTTCTTCTAGGGTTTTTATGGTTTTAGGTCTAATGTTCAAGTCTTTAATCCATCTTGAATTGATTTTTGTATAAGGTGTAAGGAAGGGATCCAGTTTCAGCTTTCTACATATGGCTAGCCAGTTTTCCCAGCACCATTTATTAAATAGGGAATCCTTTCCCCATTGCTTGTTTTTCTCAGGTTTGTCAAAGATCAGATAGTTGTAGATATGCGGCGTTATTTCTGAGGGCTCTGTTCTGTTCCATTGATCTATATCTCTGTTTTGGTACCAGTACCATGCTGTTTTGGTTACTGTAGCCTTGTAGTATAGTTTGAAGTCAGGTAGTGTGATGCCTCCAGCTTTGTTCTTTTGGCTTAGGATTGATTTGGCGATGCGGGCTGTTTATTTGTTCCATATGAACTTTAAAGTAGTTTTATCCAATTCTGTGAAGAAAGTCACTGTTAGCTTGATGGGGATGGCATTGAATCTATAAATTACCTTGGGCAGTATGGCCATTTTCATGATATTGGTTCTTCCTACCCATGAGCATGGAATGTTCTTCCATTTGTTTGTATCCTCTTTAATTTCATTGAGCAGTGGTCTAATGGGAAAACCACCAGACTGGGAGTTACAGAATCAGGTGGCTAGTTCTGGCTCTGAAATGAATTACTGTTATTAAGAACTCAGTCATTTCATTTATCTTGCCTTACTTATATCTGACAGAATTTTAAGTAAGAGACAATGGATGAGACTGTATGTACATGAAATTTTGGATTCCAATAGAAATAATTCAGTGATTTCAAAAGAAATTAATTTTGAAGTAAATGATGTAAACACTTTTTTAAGACACTGGCTAAGTATCAAGTATGTGAATACAATTTGTTAAGAAAATATATTTTAATGTTTATTTTTTCATGTATTTTATAGTTTATTCATATTCTATCCTTTATAAGGAACAGTAAAGGGTATTAAGAATAAAATACATTATTTTTTGTTATTTCTGTTGATCAAAGGAAAAACTTACAATGAATAGTTACATTGATAAAATATATGATATAAAATTTTTATCTAATGCAATTATTGAGCTATGAATCTTGATTCACTATCCCATGTATTTAATTTATTAAAATAATAATAAAAATAAATCCATACATTTGGAATTTCTGAAATGAAACTTTCTGCCATTTAATTACATCTTTCAAAGGACTATAATCTCTTAATCACCATGAGCTTCTCTTTTATCCTAGTAACTGGCATTCATGCACATTGCATTCACATTACACTTTTCATGTCGAAAGTAAGGCTGACTGCTGAATTAGAGGCTTTTCAAAAGTAAAGCTTCTGCTCTTTCATTTGATGATATATGAATCACATTGAATATCCCATCAAATATCACCCTTTGATGGGGTTAATCTATATGTTAATGGTTTTCCTATTTTTTGTGTGATTTCTTGGCTTTTTCATTTATTGAATTCATTGTATTTGTGCAGTTTATATTGTTTAAAAGAAAATTTGCAAGTCAGTAAGAGGACAGCATGCTCTTTGATGACAGGGAAATTTTATACTGTAAAATTTGTGTTTAAATGATATATTCAAATTAGTTTAAAATGCTCCTTTGAAAGGGGATTTGTTTGTAACAGAAAGACTTCTGACAGAAATTGCAAACAGATCATGATGGGGACAGACAGGAAGAGTAAATACATTGTATAAAACTACTGCATAAGAAGAACTCTATAGTGTTTTATTTTAACATTCACAGAGAGAAACAAACTCAGAGGTTTTAGTTCAAATATATAGGTCGCAGGCTGTATTATAAACACAACTCTACATTCAGAGTACTGAAGCTTCAGAGGTTGTCCAAAATTACCCCACAGCTGGACAGATACAAGGAAGACACTAAAATGTAAGGTAGCAAATATAGCTTCTGGGCCATTAGGAAGAACCTCCTCTTCTTGGAAGCTTGTGATGTAATATTGGCACAGAGTTAATGAGAAAATGAGACATAAGAAAATGAACTGAGTCACAGGGACTTATCAGGAATTTAATCACTGGAACTCAAGGCAGCTCTTTATCTTATAAATAAAGAACATAGATTATACAACACAAACCTGAATTTACTCTGCACTTCATTTCTATCTATCTGTGTACTCTCTTGGTTGAGCTAGTTTTAAATTTCCTATGCCTCAGTTTCCACATCTATAAAATAAGGATAATATGTCTATGTAATAAGTTTTTAATATGTGCAGACTAAATGAGGTGATGCATATTAAGTGCTTAACACAGTTGTTTGGACAATTAATTACAACGAATATTATCATTATTAAGATAACTTTGAGAATATTTACAAACTCAGTATTACACTAAGTATATCAGGTATTGACACAGCTGCCTAAATATCCTCTTCTGTCTGCTCCCAATTGACCAAGCTAAGACTGAACAAACAGAAGTTATGTGGGTTTATTTGTTAAAATTAAGTGCATATAATTGCAAATATTTGATTGCTTTGGTCTTAAAATTTGGAATGAATGTGTACCTAATTAATTCTATACAGAGAAGTATCCTCACCACATACTTCCAAGTCAATGGGTTGATGCTTAAAATTTTTTGTATAATTGGGGTTTCATTTATTTTTAAAAGTTTTAAATTATTGTACAGTTAACTGTATTTTTCCTTCTAATAAAGTAAAACATACCAATCAGGGCTAAGTCTCACTTGACTTTGTCCTTTTTCCTTCTCTCAGAGGGTATTCACCATTAACCAGATGGACTTTCCAGTATTTTTGCTATACATTTACATTTTACATGTGTGGTTGTATGTTGCTTCACATAAAAGATTTGTTGCTTGAAACATTCTGCTTCATTTTTCGCTTACTAACATGTCTCAAAAATATTTCTTTGTTTGTACATATAGGTCTGCCTCCTTTGAAATTGCTCCAAAATTCTTAAGCCACAATATACCTTTGGTGTGTAGACAAAATGTGCTGTATATCTTTTTGATCCTCAAATTGCCCAATCTAGTTTAAAAGTTAGTCATAGACGCAAAGTTAAAATGCATGTTAAATCATGCTCATTTTGACTTCATAAAATCAGTCTCTTAGATATCCTACCTATGCCTTGAATATCTCTTGAGGGAGAAAGATATGGATTAAGAGTATGGTTCTTTTGAACTCACATTTTAGGAGAGAATTGGCATCTCTGGCCATAACTTTCTATGCTTCCTCTAGTTTCTAGAGCAATGTTGCATGTTAACCTGGTGCTGTTAGACTTGCAAATGCTCAGAATTAAATATAAGAAAGGGATTAACTTTTCATCTGTTTCTATTATCTTCCTCAAAGTTCATTAGCCCTCTGTCTTCTATATATTTTCCTCAATCAAACCCTGTGTGTCTGCCACTTCATTTATTCAGCCCATTGGTCCAGGATCCAGTGATTCTCTCTCATGCAGCTTCATCACCTTCAGCAATAGCAGGCACCATAATGTGTCCAGTTATTCTCAGTTTAATGTCCATAATGCAAATAGACTGAAGGTGAGGTGAGAGAGAAAAATCTAAGAGCCTGTCTCTGACAGACTATAGTGCATAGCCAAGTGAATGTTGCCACTGGAGAAGAGGGTATGCCAATGAAGAATTCACAGCAACACCTCATCTCTCATTTACCTAATTTTTCTCTTCCTCTTAAGGCCAAAGCCTTGAGAGAAGTGTTCTCTTAATATCCCTCTCACCATTTTACTTTTCTGCCTCTCTCATTTGGTCTTTTTTTTTTTCCAGATTGTCATTTTCCGCAAAAGGAACAGCTATAACTTTACTTGCCCCAAGTCATAACATTGATAGTACTTTAGAGTGACCTAGGTGTCATCTGTGAAAGGAGTTTATTCTCTATACTATAGAGGAATTCTGAACAGGATCTCAAAACCTTTCATTATCACAAACTCTGCTCCTGGTAGATAATCTTGTTTTTACATATCAGAAGCTATTATTAACTTCATGTTTGCAATTTGTATGATTTTCTACTTCTCTTCAAAGGGATGGAAACTTTGGGTGAACTGGAGTAAAGTGGTCAGAATTTTTAAAAAGAGAAAAACACAGCTTTTCAAAATTGCATTCACTTTTATCTACCCATTCTCTTCATAATAAAAAATCTTGAATATTCCTACTTTTTTTTATTAAAACAAGTTTGCAATAAATATCCTGTATATGTTCTCTGTGTGTGTGTGTGTGTGTATATATATATATGTATACATATATATATGTATACATATATATACATATATATATACATATATATACACATATATATATATACACATATATATGATAGTTTCTGTAAAGTAGACAATAAGTAATGGGATTGCAGGATATGACATCCTTTTTTTTCACTTTTTTGCCTGTAAACAAAGTAACTGTACTAATCTATAGTACATCAAGCAAAGTCCACCTTCACCAACACACATTAGCAAACTTAAAAAATCAATTTTATTGTTAAAAATGTTACCTCGCTGATATATTTTCTGCTTATATCAGTTAGAATGTTTTTGGTTGCAAGTTGTAAACATCAACTTTACTTAATCTAACAATAGGAAATGTATCATATAATGAAAAGTTTCAAAACCATAGTGGCTCCAAGCACGATATAAGCAATGGTCCAACTCCACTTGTCTGCATTTCCCTATGTTCTGCCTTGCTCCATATGTTTGCTTTGTCCTCAGGCTAGATCTCCTCCTGGTCATTTAATGACAACAGCAATTTTAACTCTCACATCCAGACACAATAGTGTCCAGAGGCATAAAAAAAGGCAATTTCTCCCCTATGTACTTGTTAAGAGTAAAAAAAAAAAAAAAAAAAAAAAAAAAATCCCCGAAGTCAGCCTCCTGCTCCCAACAATCTCTCAATAAACATTGGCAAAAATAGCCTAATGTGTAAACCTCTCCCTGGCAAAGAATTAGTTTATTCTATACAAATATAAGGTTTTTTTACCCAAGAGAAACTAGCTCCTCTGGCCTTTCAAGAGGTACATGGACATGAGAAAGAGAGTGGAAATTGGACTAATAAGAAACCCTGTTATGAAAAGATTTCAGGATTGCAGAGATGAATGTTATCCAGGCAAACAACAGTTTTTGTTATATTTTTTACAAGAATAAAATGGAAAATAACTTCCCCTTATAAAGATATCCTAAATGAAGAATAAAAAGGATTCAAGTAGAAAAACATTTTGGCCTTGTATTCAATATACAAAGAGAACTAAACACATTTGAGGATAGAATCCATAGACTGTCCTGATACAAAAATTTAATTTATAAAATATTAATTTTTTTAAAATTATAGTCACATGATCACCAAAATATTTTATGAAAATATATAAATTCATAGAGATTATGTGTTGTAATGCTTAAAATATGGATAGGGCTTAAACATGTATCTTCTATACAAACTAATTACTAAACAACATATGTATTTTAAAAAGTTAGGAAAATTAGAACACCAACATTGTAAGTATCAGTGTCTGGCCACTGGTAACAAAATGGGTCATTCAATGAAGTTAATTCTGTTTTTTCTTGCCACTGAAAATATATTTAAAGGTAGATAAAATATCTTTCATGAAGTTCACATTTTAGAAGAGACAGACAGTAAATAAATATTCAAGTAAATATATAATGAATTGAATGGTGATAAGTACAAGAAGGGTGGGAAGGAAAAATAAACAAGGAAGACAGATTACTTGATTAGGGCTGGGTGTTATTATTTTATTTAATACATGTGGTGATTGGTGATCTCTTACCTGTAAGAAGTGAAGGAAGGAGTCACACAGATACCAGTGCATTTTACAAGTCAGGTAGAGAGAATGGAAAAAAAAAAGAAGAAGAAGGAAAGAAAAACAAGTTAAGTAACATTTTCTAGATTAGATAGAAAAAAGAATGCCACAATGGTAGAATTGTTCACTTCGCAAATGTTATTTTTACTTATTCTTAAATTTTTTATATTCAAGACCTAGTTATAGAAGCATGAAATAACATACAAAAATTTCACCACTTATTGAAACTTTCAGCTACATTCTAACTCTGTTCCCCAAGGATACTGTAGCAAAGGAAAAATAATGGATACATCTGGATATAAATTTTTATGAAACAAGATTTCTTCCTATATTTTAATCTACGCCACTAGCACTTCTTAGGCACATCTTCAGGCTTGCTACAAATTGTACCATTTTTCATGACAGTTTATAAACGTTAAAATAAAGTGCTAGGAATAAAAATGTGTCAGAGCTTATAAAACATTCTTTGAGGGAAAGACATAGTATGTCTGTCATAACTGAGTCACTAGAAACAGAGATCCTACAATGGGTAAAGACAATTATCCGAGTTCTAGTATAATATCTTCCGTGTAGCTCCTCATATGACTCAATTTCCTTTGAATTATTCATACGGTCAGTTCAATAAGGGTACGCATATAAAACTTTTAGGATACGGTATATGCTCAAGCAATGGCTGCTACTGTTATTGTGATATCTATTATTCTATTTCACACTTAATAGACATTTTTGAGATTTCTACTTTTTTCCCCTATACATTGCGATGCTTAAGGTGTCCATGTAAGAAACATACATGTCCTTATCACATAAACCTCAGAAGTTTCTCCCAAAAATACGAGAAACTATAGATAGACAGGGTTGAGTTATTCATATTCTTTCACTCCTAGAACAATATCTTCTTAGGTCCAAATGAATCTTCTCTTATTTAAGAGAAACTCTTAACTCTCACTTTCTCTTCCTGAGTAAACCTGCATAGGCTTCAACTGTAGTGCACTTCAATGTGTTAAATGTGAGCTTATTCCTAGGAAATGCATATTCGTGTGTGTGTGTGTGTGTGTGTGTGTGTGTGTGTGTGTGTGATGAGAAATATATAAATGATATTCTGCTACAGATGTTAAAATAAAGAAATTGACTCCATTTTTTGATGTTTGTTGACAGCTTTTAAGCTGTCAGTGGAAAGCAGGAGTGCTCTCTCCTCTGGTGTTGATGGGAGGTTCAAATCATTTAAGCTACTTTCCATGCATGGCAACACCCACTCTTGTTCCATCCCCTAACTGCCACAAAATCTACAAGTTAATCTCCTTCCTCAGGTCTCTTAGCCATTTTTTGACCAGCTTGGGAGTCACCTCCCCGCTGCCCCCAGAATGCTTTATTAGTGTGACATTATTAGTCTTGACAGGGCAACCAGATGTTGGGTGAGGAGCCATCTTACTTACTACAGTTGGTCAAAACACAACTTTGTTTTTTTTTTTACTTTTTTGACTCAAAAAATTCTTTAATGATACAAACATACACATTGGTGTATCAACATTTAGGTTTTTACTTCTGACTGATGCATGGTATTTTGTAGTGTGTGGTTAAATCCAACACATTTTACTTATCTGTATCCCTGTTGGAGGATACCAGTTGCCACCAATTTTCTACCACTACAAAAAGTGTCAGGATAAATAATTTTACATTTCCTTTCATGACCCTAATTAATATGACTTGGGGATATATATCCAAGACAGGCTTAGGCTATTCATATCCTGGGTGTCTATTTCTATTTTTCTGTTATTGCTTTTTCATTTGCAGGATTGATTTGCATATGTTAAATATTATATTCTAATTTGGTATATCCATATATCTTCTCCCAGTCAAAGGCCTTCTTAATTTTGATGTAAACAAATTCACATTTTTCTTACTATTGGAGCTAAATGGGTCCCATTTAAAGTGTAGTTTCTCATGCTGTCTTAACTAAAATATTCCTAGCATTTTGACTTCCATCTGGAATCCATATTTTTATTTAGTATAAGGTAAGGATCTAGGTTCATTTAGTCTCCAAAGGTGATACAGTTTTTCCAGAATTAAATAGGAAATGTATATCCTCTCTCTATTGATTTTAATAACCTCTTTATCATGTATCAAGTTACCATGTAAACATGAGACAGGTCTTTTTTTTTTTTTCCTATTCTACACCACTGTTTTGTATTCTATGGTTTGTTACTGTGTAGTAATATTTAGTAGAAGCCACCATGCTTTTTTCAAATATTAATAATCGATTTGATATATTTTATTTTTATTTTTAAATAAAATATGACTGAAGTTGCATTTAGTTGCTAGTTTAACTCAACAAGCAAATATCAGTCATTTAAATCATGAATATGTAAAATCTTTTATTTATTCATATAATTTTAATTGGGTATTATGATGTTTGTTAATATAGTTAATAGTTACAAAATTTTCCTGATGATGTCATTTATTTGCCAAGATCTTAGAGCTTTCAATACTATTTAGAGTTGTGCATTAACGTTATATTCTATAATACAGTAAAACCATATGGCAATGCACCAAATACAGATTTAAGACATGAGTTGATTGGTTTTTTAAATATTCCTATCAATTCCCATTCACAAACAGTAGTGCGATAAAAATAATCATAGTTATTATTTTTTACAGGGCGAAAGGGAACATGAAAAAGATGGGAATGTCCCTGGATATAGGCAGCTCCAGAGAGGGAGACAGTCTGTCCTTGAATCATTACTATTATCCCTGCACAATTTTCTTGGATTTGGAGAAAGCTATAGGTAATATACAGGTGAATATTTCTCAGATTATTTCTGTTGTTCTTTTTGGAAGGCTCTGCATGCCAAGCTCAAAAAATCATCCATATCAAAGTTGAAGCCAGAGCAGACAATGGCCCACTGGTGGGGTCAAGCCATTTAAACCCAGCAGCAGAATTATGAGCCCCTGGCAGCCTGTCTGCTCAAATTCATCAGGTCATTTTATTAACTAACTATATCGCAATATTGAATTATATGTGATTTAATTGTTTACACTATTTACCTTACTATGACAGGCCTTACTATATTTTCTAATTGCATTTTGCTGGTGCAGAAAGGTTCATCTTGCATTTGGCAGAATATTATTGTATTCTCCCAAACTCTTGAGTGGCTTGTTAATTTTGTTAGGTTTTTCACAATGAAGATCGTATTATCTTCAAATAATGGAAGTTTCATATATCGCTTCCATTTTTTTCTATTATCTTATAGCACTAGCAAACATTATTTTTAAAAACAGCAGTGAGATCAAACATCTCTATATTTTTCTGACCTCAAAGTGAATGTATCTAAATTTTTTCCTTTTAGTATGATGTTTGCTGAATGTTTTTGGCATGTAACCATTCTTAAACTAAGAATATTCTTTTGTCTTCCAAATTTTCTAAATTTTTCTTTCCAACAGATGATGTTGAATGTTATGAAATTCCTCTGCAAATTAATAACTTAACATTTTGACCATAAATTCCTCTCTTATGAGACATGTTCTTGGCATCACATCCCTAAAGTTCAAACACCCATAAATCAAATTTCTAAAATATCAATGTTTAACAATATTTTTAATCATAGTAATCAAACTAAGAGACAAAGTTCAATATGAAAATCAGCAGATGTATTTTTAATCTCCCTATCTACAACAGGTAAATCCAAACTGCCTCAGAATATACAGTTGTACTTTTCATTCTGGCTGAAATCATAAAAAATTATTCTAAAAGTAAAGATAAAATTGTATTCTTTAGATAAAGTTAAAAGCGAATATGAATGTGCATTAAAGCTACTTTTTGATTATTTGTCACCCTTTGTTATTATTCACATACCTATGACTAGATACATATATAAAAATGTAATAAAATTACTTGATAAAGAACACGTCTTAGGTTTTAACATTTATTTTTAACTGTAAATGCTCCTATAAATGTACTTTTAAATGGCCTAACTAGCCTTTTTATGAATGTCAACTGCAAATGTTCTTGTAAATGTCAATTTCTAAGGTTCATAAAAGTAGATTTTGAAATGTTCTTGCAAATATCACTATGACTGGAACTTAGTGATCAGGAGAATGGAAGTGTTTGAATTGCACTTCATTAGGTTTTACCAAATCTTAAATAGTTATAAGTCCTATTGTGAAACAAGCCCAGTAATTTATGATATGAAGAATTTACATATTTGTGTGTGGAGTATTTAGAACCTCCCTGGGAAGAAAAAATGATTGCATAATAAATAAAATTCAAGATGATATAATAGTGTACAATAAATATAAGATGACTCTGAAGAAGAGAAATATGTATATGAGTTTGAGAAAAAGATATAGGGGTTTAACTGAATATTCAAGAATGTAAAAACTTAGCAAAGTAAATGAGTGTTTGGAGTAAAAGTACATAATTTTTATGCCTTCTTACTGTGTTAATACAATGTCTTTAAAAGATACGTATCTTTAATTATTATTATTGTAGTAACAATGTTTTTGATAGTTACTGATATTGGAGGACAGAAATAAACTCTCTTTTTATTTCTGTCTATACCATATGCTCAAATGCACATAAAAGCATACATTTATATTACTTCTAAATTGATTGCATCAAATATTTAATGAGTTATTGGCTTCATAGTCTTTTTCACGTGATTTTTTAGTACTCAGTGTAATAGGAACATAAAAATAATGCTATTAACAATTCCCCTTGCATTGACCTAGAGTAACATAAGCCCTTTATAGTGATTATATATTCTGGTGAACTTGTATTGCTTTCATGGCCCTCTTTTTTACATTTTTCAGATTTATAATGCTTAAGTCTTGGCCAATATGACAACAATGGGAACAGAAACATCAACATGCCTGACCATTGCTTTCAAAATATGTATCTGTACTGATAAGAACATAAGACAATTATGGGAAGGTGGTGATCCAAACTTTCAAAAAAACTCAGATTAAGAAATACTTTTACCATTAACATTTAAGTAATACTATTCTGTAGTTATGGAAATGTGTGATTACTAAAAAAAAGAAAAAAAAAAGAAAAAAAGAGGGAGACTGACATAGTGAATTTGCTTTACATTTATTGGTAGCATTTTATTGCTTGTATTTTAATGTAATCATGTAATATATAGTCTTCATAGCATAATATGAATGCTTTTAAGCTGGGCCTTTCAGACATTATGACAAAGTTAGCAAGGTCACGTCATCATCAGTAAAGTTTCTAGAATACAGAAGCATTAATTGCTTTGGTTGATTTAAAAATAAAGTGATTAATTTTGCTCTCCAATTTCCTACCTGTGTGCACCTCAGTTATTAGTATGTGTTGGCATATTGTCCTCTAATCAAATTTTTCAAGCCATCTTTATTAAGAAGTCAGTAAAACAACGTATTGAAATGCAGATTGCATTGATTTGCTCCAAGTTATTGCAAGGTAAGAGGAAACAGTTATCTTAGGGTAAATCAATATAATCTACATTAAAGTACATTGTCTCTTAGAGTGCCAGGAAATATTCAGTGATCTCCATTATAAAAGTGGTCATTGTGACCACCTTATGTGGCCTGTCCTTAAATTTATGTCCCTTGCTCCTTAAGGTAAGCAAGATTGTAAACTTTCTCAGAACCTAAATTTAGTTTCCACTGAGTTTCCTCTCAGTGCTTCTAGTTTCTAGTCAGACAGGGAATCTCACTGCTTGGTTAATGTTATCATAAAGAAATGTGAATATCAGAGTTCTAAAACATCATATCTTTAAAGTAAGAATGTCTTTATATCACTAATATTCCAAAATGTATATGTTTATTATGATTTTGGTTACTATGAAATCATGGCTTTATAAAATATTAGCATCTCAAAAATAAATTTGTGTTTTTTTTTTCTCATATTCTTTCTTTAAAAGTCTTTACTAATGATGGCAGGTGATCCTTAACATTCTTGCTTTGGCAAGCCAGAAGAGTGTAACCACTCACTGAGTTCTTCTTGGCCCATACTCAGCTAGAACCAATTTTTCAAGACTGAAGAAATGCAATAGAGAGAGTCTTTAATGCACATAGAGACAGCTAAATGAGAGACCAGAGTTTTATTATTACTCATGTCAGCCTCCCTGAAAACGTGGAGGCTAGGGGTTTTCAAAGGTAGTTTGGTGGGCAGGGGGCTAGGGAATGGGTGCTGCTGATTGGCTGGTGATACAATCCTAGAGTTGTAGAAAACAGACCTCATGGGCTGAGTATGCATCTGGGTGGGGGTCAAAAGACCAGTTGAGTCAAAAATCATGGGTCCAGGTTGGGACATCTGGTCCTCAGAAATGCAAAAGCCTGACTAGACATCTTAAACAGCCAGTTTTAGGTTCTACAATAGTGATTTTATTTACAGAAGTAATTGGAGAAGTTGCAAATCTTGTGACCTCCAGAATAATGGCTTGTAATCATTGAATTCTACATCTTAAAGGAATTCAGGCCCCTCTCATCCTTCTAATTTCTAATCTTGTGACATTTCATTAGTTTCATAATGGTGGTTTACTTTTTCGGATGGGCTATTATCATTTAAACCAGAAACTAAATTTCTCCCAAAGTTAGCTTGGCCCATTCCCAGAAATGACCAACAGCAGTTTGGAGGTTAAAGGAAAGATGGAGTTGGTTAGATCAGTTCCCTTTCACTGTCATAATTTTCTCATTCTTATAATTTTTGCAAAGGTAGTTTTAGGAGTCTGTTAACTGTTCCCCATTAAATAATAATTGCTTTGTATGAACAAAATAAACTTTATAAACTGTTACTAGGAAAGTGTAAAATAGCAAAGGGGAGACTATGTCATCCATATAAAACTGAAATTTTACATTATAAGTACAGAGTTTTCTTGATGTACTGTGGGGTTACATCCCAAAAAACTTATCAGAAGTCAAAAATATCAAATATTATTAGTCAAAAGTGCATTTATTACCCAAATTAACCCACGATAAGGTCAAAAAATCTTAAGTTTTACCATTGTAAGTCAGAGACCTGTCTGCATATCAGAAGAAAATGAAGTAAAGGAAACTCAGAATATCCTTTAATCTTTTTATCATGATATATCATCAGAATTTCTGAATTTTTTAATCTATGAGAGCTTTCAAAATTTTCAATAATAAAGGATTAAGTGTATTTCCATGTCATAATAGGTGATGGTGAGTGTGAAAGGGGAGGCATAGAGAACAGTAATTTCTAGGAGATAATGCCTACTATTGCTTCATTGGGAAGCAACATTTTGCCTGCCTGATTTGAGAGTGGGGTGGGAAGTGAAATCCCAGGCTGCTGAGATATTTAAAAGCCCAAAAAATGTGGTGCTACCAAGGGAATAAGATAACGAATTATACATTAACAATGAGTAGAATATTATGGAAAAAAAGAGTTTTCATTGATTTTTATTTTAGCTGATCTTTGCCCAAATTTGTAGTAAATAATAATGCTTGGGGGTGAGGCCAAGATGCCCAACTAGAAACAGCAGAGATCAGAGGCTCCCATCGAAAAGAACCATAATTAAAGTATGAATCCTTCACCAGTAACCAAGGTACCTACGTTCTCTCATCAGAACTGACTAGGCAGCTGACACAATCCATGGAGAGGAAGGAAGAGCAGGGTAGTGCAGTGGCCCACCTGAAAGCCACACAAGGCAGACGACCCCCAATCTGCCACCCAAGGGAGGTGGTGAATGAGCATGCTATGCAGCTGAGGAAACTGTGCTTTTTCCATGGAACTGTGCAACCCACAGATTGGAAGATCCCACTTGCAAACCCAAACCACTGCGGCCTATGGTCCCAACACCGGAGCCAAACAGATTCTCAACAGCCTCTCAGCTGGAGTCTGGCTAAGCCTGCCAAGCTCCCGGGGGAAAAGGCAACTAGCACCACAGCTGCTGATGCCTGCTATCTAAGCTACTTGAGCTCCTTAGGGGAGGATCAGCAGCCAGCACTGGAACTCATATCTACCTACCATACTAAGCTGCCTGAGCAGGGGAACGGGAGCATCCATCTCTATAGCTCCCGGCCATGCTTTTCCCCTGCTGGAGCCAGGGACGCTGGATGGTTTGGTCCCAAGAGGTGCCGCCCACAGCCCAATACACCATCTGTGGCAGACTGCAGCCAGAGCACCTCTTCAGGCCTGACTCTGATACATCCTTCTTTGCAGGGTGGAGATTCCCTGTAGGAATTCCAACAACTCCAACCAGAGGCTCAGGGACCAGAAACCGGAGCTCTCTGGGCTTGAGGCTCTAGGGGAAGGGGTGGCTGCAGTCTCTGCAGACCAGCACACTTAGCCTTTTCTCCTGGAAGTTCTGAGGAATCTGAGCAGCCTAAATGATTGGGTTTCCTCTATCAAAGCACACCCTCTCCACAAAGGGACAGTCAAAGCACTTCGTTAAACAGGTCCTTTTCCCTGTGCCACCCACACCTCCGACAGGGATTGTCAGACACCCCCTACAGGAGCAATCCTACTGGCATAAGATTGGTGCCTTTCGAGGTCAGAGATCCCTGAAGAATGAGCAATCACCCATTTTTGCTGTTCTCCAACCTCCTTGAGTTACATCTCCACGTGCAGAAGGGAACCAGATGAATAAGACCTGAAGTGAACCCCCAGCAAACTGCAGCAGCCTTACAGAAGAAGGACCTGACCATTGAAAGTAAAACAAGCAGAAAGCAACAATAACAGTGTGAACAACAACAAAAAGTACCCACAAAAACCCCATCCAAGGGTCAGCAGCCTCAAAGATCGAAACCAGACAAACTCATGAAGATGAGAAAGAATCAACGAAAAAACACTGAAAACCCAAAAGGCTAGAGTGTTGCTTCTCCTCCGATGATCACAATGTGTCTCCAGCAAAGGCTCAGAACGGAATGGAGATTTAGATGGATAAATTGGCAGAGGTAGGCTTCAGAAGATGGGTAATAAAAAAACTCTGCTGAGTTAAAGAGTATGTTCTAACCCGATGCAAAGAAGCTAAGAACCTCCATTTAGAGGAGCTGCAAACTAGAATAACCAGTTTAGAGAGGAAAATAGATGACTTGATGGAGCTGAAAAACACAGCACAAGAACTTCGTGAAGCATACACAGGTATCAATGGCTGAATTGACCAAGCAGAAGAAGGGATATCAGAGTTTGAAGACCACCTTGCTGAAATAAGGCAGGCAGGCAAGATTGGAGAAAAAATAATGAAAAGGAACAAACAAAGCCTTCAAGAAATATGGGACTTTGTAAAAAGACCAAACCTATGATTGATTGAAGTACCTGAAGGGGGCGGGGAGAATGGAAACAACATGGAAAACACACTTCAAGATGTTATCCGTGAGAACTTCCCCAACTGAGCAAGACAGGTCAACATGTAAATTTAGGAAATACAGAGAACACCACTAAGGTACTCAACGAGAAAATCAACCACAAGACAAATAATCATCAGATTCTCCAAGGTCGAAATGAAGAAAAAAATGTTAAGGGTGATCAGAGAGAAGGGCCAGGTCACCTACAAAGGAAAGCCCATCAGACTAACAGAAGGCCTCTCAGCAGAAATTCTACAAGCCAGAAAAGAAAAGATTGGGGACCAATAATCAACATTCTTAAAGAAAATAATTTTTCAACCTAGAGTTTCATCTCCAGCCAAACTAAGCTTCATAAATGAAGGAAAAATAAAAGCCTTTACAGATAAGCAAATGCTGAGGGATTTTGTTATCACCAGTCCTTCCTTGCAAGAGCTCCTGAAAGAAGCAGTAAATACGGAAAGAAAAAAAATGGTACCAGCCACTGCAAAAACACACCAAAATATAAAGACCAATGACACTATGAAGAAACTCCATCAACTAGTGTGCAAAATAACCAGATAGCATCATGATGACAGGATCAAATTCACAAATAACAATACTAACCTTAAATGTAAATGGGCTAAATGCCTCAATTAAAAGACTTAGACTGGCAAATTGGATAAAGTGTTAAGACCCATCAGTGTGTTGTATTCAGGAGACCCATCTCATGTGCAAAGACACACACAGGTTCAAAATAAATAGATAGAGGAAAATTTATGAAGCAAATGGAAAGGAAAAACAGTAGGGGTTGCAATCCTAGTCTCTGACAAAACAGACATTAAACCAACAAAGATTTAAAAAAATAAACAAAGAAGGACATTACATAATAGTAAAGGGAACAATTCAACAAGAAGAGCTAACTATTCTAAATATACATGCATCCAATACAGATACACCAAATTCATAAAACAATTTCTTAGAGACCTACAAAGAGTCTTACACTCCCCCAAAATAATAGTGGGAGACTTTAACACCCACTGTCAATATTAGACAGATCAATGAGACAGAAAATTAACAAGGATATTTGACTTGAACTCAGCCCTGGATCAAGTGAACGTAAGAGAATCTATAGAACCCTCCACCCCAAATCAAAAGAATACACATTGTTCTCAGTGCCACATGGCACTTATTCTAAAATTGACCACATAATTGGAAGTAAAACCCCCACAGCAAATGCAAAAGAAGTGAAATTATAACAAACAGTCTCTCAGACCACAGTGAAATCAAATTAGAACTCAGGATTAAGAAACTTACTCAAAACCGCACAACTACATGGAAATTGAACAACCTGCTACTGAATGGCTCCTGGATAAATAATGAAATTAAGGCTGAATTCAAGTTCTTTGAAACTAATGAGAAGAAAGAAACAACATACCAGAATCTCTGGGACACAGCTAAAGCAGTATTAAGAGGGAAATTTGTAGCACCAAATCCCCACATCAGAAAGCTAGAAAGATCTCCAATCGACACCCTAACATTACAATTAAAAGAGCTAGAAAGGCAAGAGCAAACTAGTCCAAAAGCTAGCAGAAGAAAAGAAATAACTAAAATCAGATCAAAATTGAAGGAGATAGACAAATGAAAAACCCTCCAAAAAATCAATGAATCTAGTAGCTGTCTTTTTTTGAAAAAAAAAATAACAAAATAGATAGATGACTAGCTAGACTAATAAAGAAGAAAAGAGAGAAGAATCACATAGACACAGTAAAAAAAAAAAACAAAGGGGATATCACCATTGACCCCACAGAAATACAAACTACCATCAGAGAATACTCTAAACATGTCTACACAAATAAACTAGAAAATCTAGAAGAAATGGATAAATTCCTGGACACATACACCCTCCCAAGACTAAACCAGGAAGAAGCCAAATCTGCGAATAGACAAATAACAAGTTCTGAAATTGAGGCAGTAATTGAAAGCCTACCAACCAAGAAAAGCCCAGGACCAGAGAGATTCACAGTCAAATTCTACCAGAGGTACAAAGAGGAGTTGGTACCATTTCTTCTGAAACTATCCCAAATAATTGAAAAGGAGGGACTCCTCCCTAACTCGTTTTTTGAAGCCAGTATCATCCTGACACCAAAACTGGGCAGAGACACAACAAAAAAAGAAAACTTCAGGCCAATATTCCTGATGAACATTCATGTGAAAATCCTCAATAAAATACTGGCAAACCAAATCCAGCAGCATATCAAAAGACTTATCCACCATGATCACGTCAGCTTCATTCCCAGCATGCAAGGCTGGTTCAACATATGCAAATGAATAAACATAGTCCATCACATAAACAGAACCAATAACAAAAACCACATGATTATCTCAATAGATGCAAAAGAGGCCTTTGATAAAATTCAACATCCCTTGATGTTAAAACATCTCACTAAACTAGGTATTGATGGAACATATCTCAAAATAATAAGAGCTATTTATAACAAACCCACAGCCAATATCATATTGAATGGGCAAAAGCTGGAAGCATTCCCTATGAAAACCAGAACAAGACAAGGATGCCCTCTCTCACCACTCCTATTCAACATATATTGAAAGTTCTAGCCAGGGCAATCAGGCAAGAGAAAGAAATAAAAGATATTCAAATAGGAAGAGAGGAAGTCAAATTGTCTCTGTTTGCAGATGACAGGATTTTATGTTTAGAAAACCATGTCATCTCAGCCCCCAAATGACTTAAACTGATAAGCAACTTCAGCAAAGTCTTAGGATACAAAATTAATGTGGAAAAATCACAAGCATTCCTTTACACCAACAATAGACAAGCAGAGAGCCAAATCATGAATGAACTCCCATTCACAATTGCTACAAAAAGAATAAAATATCTAAGAATACAGCTAACAAGGGATGTGAAGGACCTCTTCTAGGAGAACTACAAACCATTGCTCAAGGAAATAAGAGAGGACAGAAACAAATGGAAAAACATCCCACCATCATGGATAGGAAGAATCAATATCATGAAAATGGCCATACTGCCCAAAGTAATTTATAGATTCAATGCTATTCCCATCAAACTACCAGTGACATTCTTACAGAATTAGAAGAAACTGCTATAAATTTCTTATGGAATCAAAGAAAACCCCAAATAGACAACACAATCCTAAGCAAAAAGAACAAAGCTGGAGGCATCATGATACCTGACTTCAAACTATAGTACAAGGCTACAGTACCCAAAACAGCATGGTAGTAGTACCAAAACAGATATATAGACCAATGGAGCAGAACAGAGACCTCAGAAATAATACCACACATCTACAACCACCTGATCTTCGATGAACCTGACAAAAATAAGCAATGGGGAAAGGATCTCCTATTTGGTAAATGGTGCTGGGAAAACTGGCTAGCCCTATGCAGAAGACTGAAACTGGACCCCTTCCTTACACCTTGTACAAAAATTAACTCGAGATGGATTAAAGACTTAAATGTAAAGCCCCAAACCACAATGGTATTGCCATTCAGGACAAAGGGATGGGCAGACTTCATGACAAAAATGCCAAACGCAATTTCAGCAAAAGCCAAAATTGACAAATAAGATCTAATTAAACTAAAGAGCTTTGCACAGCAAAATAAACTAGCCTCAGGGTGAACAGGCAACCTACAGAATGGGAGAAAATTTTTGCAATCTACCCATCTAACAAAAGTCTAATATCCAGACTTTACACGGAACTTAAACAAATTTACAAGAAAAAAAAAAACTCCATCAAAAAGTGGGCAAAAGGTGTTAACAGACACTTCTCAAAAGAAGACATTTACATGGCCAATAAACCTATAAAAAAAGCTCAACATCACTGATTATCAGAGAAATGCAAATCAAAACCACGATGAGACACCATCTCATGCCAGTCGGAATGACAATCATTAAAAAGTCAAGAAACAACAGATGCTGGTGAGGCTGTGGAAAAATAGCCTTTTACACTTCCTTTTTTTTTTTTTTCTGAGACGGAGTCTTGCTCTGTCACCCAGGCTGGAGTGCAGGGGCGCGATCTCGGCTCACTGCAAGCTCCGCCTCCCGGGTTCACGCCATTCTCCTGCCTCAGCCTCCTGAATAGCTGGGACTATAGGCGCCTGCCACCAGGCTCGGCTAATTTTTTGTATTTTTAGTAGAGACGGGGTTTCACCGTGTTAGCCAGGATGGTCTCGATCTCCTGACCTCGTGATCCACCCACCTCGGCCTCCCAAAGTGCTGGGATTACGGGCGTGAGCCACTGCACCCGGCCAGCCTTTTACAGTTTTACACTGTTTTTGGGAATGTAAATTAGTTCAACCATTGTCGAAGACTGTATGGAGATTCCTCAAGGATCTAGAACTAGAAATACCATTTGACCCAGGAATCTCATTACTGGATATATACCCAAAGGAATATAAATCATTCTACTATAAAGACACATGAACATGTATGTTTTTTCCAGCACTACTTACAATAGCAAAGTAATGGAACCAACCCAAATGCCCATCAATGACAGACTGGATAAAGAAAATGTGGCACATATACACCATGAAATACTATGCAGCCATAAAATGGAATGAGATCATGTCCTTTGCAGGGACATGGATGAAGCTGGACCCCATCATCCTCAGCAAAGTAACACAGGAACAGAAAACCAAACACCGCATGTTCTCACTCATAAGTGAGAGTTGAACAATGAGAACACATGGACACAGGGAAGGGAACAACATACACCAGGGCCTGTTGGGGGATGTGGGGTGAGGGGAGGGAACTTAGAGGAACTTAGGTCAACAAATGCAGCAAACCACCATGGCACACATATACCTATATAACAAATCTGCATCTTCTGCACATGTATCCCAGAACTTAAAGTAAAATAATACGAAAAAGAAAACATAGAATGCTTATAACACTTCCTTTTGACTTTCCATATTTATTTCTTTTTAACACATAAAAATGAGTTTAATTGAAAATCATGTTATCATTTATAACTGTATGAATTACAGGATTGTATTTAACTTTCCTTATGAAATCTTTTTAAAATAACCCATCCATTTTTCAAAAGTAACCAAAAATCTTGATAAACAAAGAGTTTAATGTTTTATGTTTATTAGGGAATTAATATTCAGAATATAAAAAATTTGTGCCTAATATATTAATATTATTATTAAAGAGATGTGTATAAGATGCATAATTTTCATTTTTACTTCTCGCAATTTGTTACACATTAGTAATTTGTTGTACTGACACTAGGCTAAAAATTTCTGTAGCCATTTTCACTAATATACCTTTTGTTGATCAGCACAACAAAGAAAATCAATATTTGGATAATATGTAGGGTTTTTAGGGTGGATCAGATTGACCATGTAAACTACATCAATGCCAACTGGCTGAGGAGGAGCATTATATTTTGTGAATTCTGTAGCTAAATACATTGTTGCAATATTAGACAACTCCTCAACAGAAAAATGCACTCTAATGTATAGGCTCATACGCACAAATACTTAGTAAAGCCCGTATGATTACAAGTTTGGCTAATTAGAAAAGTAAATATGAGCCAACATCATACGGAGTGAAAAAAAGCTGAAAGCATTTTCCCTAAGACCTGGAAACAGACAAAAATGCCCCCTTTCACTACTCCTATTCAACACAGTTTTAGAAATCTTAGCTAGAGGTTTCTAAAACAAATAACCCCAACAAAAAGAAGCCAGAAGACACACACAGATGTGTTTCTAAGAAGATATACAAGCAGCTAGCAAACATATGGAAAAATGCTCAACATCACTAATCTTCAGAGAAATTAAAACCACAATGAGATACCATCTTACACCAATCAGAGCAGCAACTACTAAAAAGTTAAGGACCAACAGATTTTGGCAATGATGTGGGTAAATAGGTACACACATACATTGTTGGTGGGAATGTAAATTATTACAACCTCTATGAAAAACAGTATGAAGATTTCTCAAAAAAACAAAAATTGAATTACCATACTATCCAGCAATCCCATTACTGGTTATCTACCCAAAAGAGAAGTAATAATTACCTTTAAAAAAGACACCTGCACTGGTATGTTTATGGCAGCACTATTCACAACAGGAAAGTCATGAAATCAACCTAATGTCCATCAATGGATAATTGGATAAAGAAAATTTGATATACATACACCAGGAAATACTATGCAGCCATACAAAATGAAATTCTGTCTTTTGCAGCAACATGGATAGAACTTGAGGCCATGATGTTTAGTGAAATAGCTCAGAAACAGGAAACCAAATACCATATGTTTTCACTTACAAGTGTGAGCTAAACAATAGGTACAAATGATGGAAATAATGATGGAGATAACAGTCACTGGAGACTGTGAGAGGGTGGGAGGGGTGTGAGGGATGAGAAATTACATAATGGGTACAAAGTACACTATTTGGTTAATGGGTGCACCAAAAGCCCAGACGTCACCACTATGCAATACATTCACATAACTAAATTGCACTTGTACCACTAAAATCTATAAAAATAAAAATTAAAAAAAAAACATGTAACTCTAAACTAGTTTGCCTTTAAATTTGTGTTCATAGCAACTCTAGTATGTGCACAAAATTGCTTGGAAATAAAACTAAACATTCTTAATAAAATGTGCTTTTATACTTTTAATTTTGTCTTCATTTTGCTTTTTGTAGAACTATTTACTAGCTGTCTAGTTAAGAGCCATTCCTCTCTTCTAGTTTACTCACAGTATTTTCATTTTGAGATTGGGATCTCACAGTGCTCTGGAAAGTAAATCTATCCCCAAATTCTCAGAATAAATAATAACTGTTCTAATTCAAGTATAGTAATTCCATTCCCCTTTGTTCATAATTGGTTTAAGCAGAGGAATGTTAAATTCTTACAGACAAAAGGTACAGTGATATCTAATGAAAAAAAACTAAGGGAAATATTTTCCTTCTATTAAGTAAGACACTTGGTAAGGAGAAACTGCTCATCAGGCAAAAAGAATTTGAGAAAGTTATGCCTGCAATGACTGCATGCATTTTGTGACCATATATGTAGAAATCATATTCTGGCAATGGCAACTGAAAGAGATCAAGATTAGGAGATCTTTGAGGCCCCAGAATACCACTGCATCCACCAATTCTGGAATCAACCACCTTCAGGCTTCTAATGTAAGATTACAAATTGTTTAAAATTTCTTTAGTTAGGCATATGTTACAACAATAGTTTTCAGATTAATAATGTCCACAAATATGCCCCACATTCATAATGCTCTTAAAGACGAATTCATCATATTCTCATGGGGATGAGGAATGGAAGAGGAGAAACCATCAGAGGAACCATTCTTTTCTCCAAAAAACCATAAAAACAGTGCAATGTAATATTTGTTTTATCCCTATCTTCTTTAGAATCTTTCCTTTGACAGTGGGTCTCGAATCAAAGACACACCATTTGAGATCTTGTGAATCCCTTCAGCAATTTTAGAGCATCTTTCTTTAGTCTGCATTCTCTCCTGCAACAAAAATGTCTTTCTAATCTGGCGTGGTGGCGTGCAGCTGTAGTCCCAGCTCCTTGGGAGGCTGAGGTGGGAGAATCACATGAGCCTGGGAGGTCAGGGTTGCAGCCACCCAAGATCATGCCACTGCCCTCCAGCCTGGGCAACAGAGCGAGACCCTTCTCAAAAACAAAAAAACAAGTCGGGTGCAGTGGCTCACACCTGTATCGCAGCACTTTGCGGGGGCCAAGGTGGGAGGATCACCTGAGGTCAGGAGTTCAAGAGTAGCCTGACCAACATTGTGAAACCCCGTCTCTACTAACAATAAAAAATTAGCTGGGCATGGTGGCAGGCGCCTGAAATCCCAGCTACTCAGGAGGCTGAGGCAGGAGAAGAACTTGAACCCAGGAGGCGGAGGTTGCAGTGAGCCGAGATCGTGCCATTGCACTCAAGCCTGGGCAACAAGAGAGAAACTCCGTCTCAAAACAATAAAAAACAAAGAAAAACCAATGTCTTTTTGTCTGTGTATCAAATCTACCATGCTGTATTATTTTCCATGATAAAACAGAAAGGAAAACAAAACCAAAACCATCATAGATTTTATCGACTCTTTCATTTTTGTCTTGTTTCTCTGTTCTTTTAATGACAGAATTTGTTTATGATTTTACACTGTTTGTTTTGTTTTCTCATTCCTCAGTCCAGTCCAGACTGTCTTCTTCTCCAACACTCCCCTTGTCTGAAAGGGCCCTAATTATTTCCATGTTTTACAACACTATCTCCTTTTGCTGTTATTCTCTTATTTGCGCAGCCATCAGCATCCTAAATTAACAATATCCTCCTTTGGAAACACTTCCTCCATTGGTTCATGTACTCCGCACATTTCTAGTTTTCCTCCGAAGATTTGGCTGTTCTTTATAAGCCTCATCTTCTCATCAGTTATTCTGGTAAACATTAGTTTTCTCAATAGGACATCTCCTTATTTTCTCTTCATAAATGATATGATCTATTTCTATAATTTATTTGTGATTTTTGAAATGACTGGTTCTTATCCTAGACCCAAGCTCTCCACTGACTTCATAATAAATATGTCTGACTGTCTTCTTGACACTTTCGCTTTCTCGTTTCATAGTCATTTTAAAATTTAAAATATAACACATACTAAATACAACTGAAGTCATTAAAATCTATCATTTTTCCTTCAATTATTTATTATTTTATGTTTTTATTTTCTAACTGCTATATAGCTTGTAGTATCTATAGTTGGAAAACTGCTTGGCAGAATGGACTTTGCTGATGTAATGTTCAACTTGGAATTGTCTTTTTTTTTTTTTTTTTGGATGACAGATAGGGTGAGCCATAAACCTAGGCAGCAGCACATCCTAGGTCTCAGAAAAGCTAAGCATTTCTAAGCAAGAAAAAACACAGAGATACGGAGAGCTATAGTTGATATTTTTGAGAGCCATCATAAAAGTAGAGCTCATTTCTTGTTTAGGAATGTTGATAACTTATGCAGCGTCAAGTAGGAACAGGAATTGAATCCCTAGAAATATAGTCAGTGATAGCTAGTAACTGAAACTCAACCTTAGTCCAATAAAGAGACGGTGAATGTGTGTTTTTGTTTGGTGTTCATTTATTTTGTTTTTCCCATAACGCATGTGGCAGCGGGCATAAAAAATAATCATGGGATAATAAAGAAACAAAATGATGAATAAAGCAGAGAATATGATCCCAGCAGAGATAAATTCACTTGTTAAGGAAATTTACATCTTCTTTTTTATTTAGAAATTAAATATGCATCTCAAATATCCATGAAGTTAAGTGTCATGTCATTCATCCTATTCCAAGTTTCAGATTTAGTAATTCTTAATTATTCAACCCTGAGCTAAGGAGCTCCTTTGTATTGCTATAAAGATAGAAGTAACTTATGACAAATGCAATAAAGATTTCCGTGTTCCTGTGCCATGGATCTGCAAAATCACACCTTAAACAGAGTATGAGAGTTTGTAATAAAATTACAGACATTATTTAATTTCTAGATTCCGAACAAAAAACAACTATTTCTTCAACTGAAATAAAATGTTATGTTCTTAGAACAAAACTGAGAGTACAAGAGACAATACATGGTATTACTTGAGAGACTTGAAAATAAATTTATTATATGTGTATATTACATTTAATTTTTTATATTTTATACATTCATTGTGCAATGGGTCCTACCAATAACATAGCTGTTCCTGGCTAGATTATATGACAGGTATAACTTTCACTTTTTAAAAAAAGCTGTCAAACAATTTTTAAAAGTACTAGTATCATTTTACATTCCCGTCAGTAGTATAACAATCAGTCTTTTTAACTTTAGCCAGTCTAATGGGTGTGTAAGGGTATCATGGTTTTAATTTGCATTTCTGTGATGAGTGATGATGTTAAGATTTTTGATGTGCATTTGGCTATTCATAATGATCTTTCATGAATTGTTTCTTAAAGAGTTTGACTATTTTTATATTGTTGATTGCCTCTTTGTTGACTTCTAAGAGTTCTCAATACAAGTTCTTTGTCAGTTATGCATGAAGTGAATATTTTCTCCCATTCTATGACTCTGTTATTCATTTTCTTACTGATGACCCGTGAAGAGCAAAAGTATTTACTTTTGATGAAATTCAATTTATCAAAATTTTCTTTTATGTTTCATGCCTTAGATTTTCCATTTAAGAAGCTTTTGTCCACCCCAAGGTCATGAAGGATTTTGTTTATGTTTCTTCTAGGAGTTTTATATATTGAGGTTTTACACTTTTAATAGTTTACATTGTACATGGTTTACTATATAAATAATAAGATGAAGAACTATCATTTAAAAAAGTTTTGCCTATATTATTTCATTTATGTTTTCAGAGATAATGATGATGAAAATAGCTAAATAGGTGTGGCGAGCTTATGTTGATTCAGAACTCTCCGACCTGCATTAGCACATTTTGTTTTAAGAATAACTATATCAGGTATGTTGTAATATTCCTTTTTATATAAAGGCAAACTGAAACAGAGCTAGTTTATGCTTAGAGTTACTTATCTAGTAAGTTATATATTTGAGATCTTTCCAGACAGCACAATTTCATCTGCATAGTTCATTTTATTGAACATATTATCTCTCAGATATATAATTATTCCTGACCATATTTAAAAATTCCATTAATTTACGTAAACAGCACACTTTCAACTTTTGATGGTTAACAGCCTTGGGCACCCCAATTGACATATATTTTAAAGTTTTCAACTCATATGTTAAGTGGTTTCTTCGTTAAGCTTTTTATTTATTCTGAATAAATAAATAAATTTGATGTTTTATTTAAATGTCTACTTATGACAATGCAGTAAGCATTGTGTTTTGCTTTTGCCTTTGTTTTTTCAAAAGAGTAGCTTTACTGCAAGTCTTGTCATTTGTATGCTAAACTGGTACTGTTAGGATGGGTGCTATGTAAGGGTGTAAGTAGAACAATCCAAGTAACCTATTTTAAGAAAAGTTTGTCATAAATTCCCCAAAGATATATTTAATGTGTTTTAAAAAGTTCACTCCTCTCCGTATTTATTTGTGGGACAAATGTCACATACGTATCAGTAAATCCACACCATCAGCAGAATTATATATGCTCAGTCATTATTCATTCCGTTTTTCTAATTCACTTGACAGTTGACACTGGTTATGGGTTTTTCCAGTCACTTAAGTGAATTTACATTTATTTTCCCATTATTTGTGGACATATTTCTGTATGTCTAAGACAAAGATGGATGGAAATAAAGTAAATGGCTAAGATACATGTCAAATAGATCTGAAATGATCTCTATAGTGACATTTTATACTATAAATAATATTTAAAACTTCTGTAGGAATTTGGAGGAAATACTGTAAATATTTGGAAAGTATTTACTAAATGAAAAATAAATTAACTGAAACAATTTTCACTACAGATTAACCTGAATACTTAAAATAAAAATAAGTTGAAACCATCAAATTAGTACCTTATATCAATGAAGTTCATGGACTCTGTAATCATGCCACTTTCCAATCATTTGGGGGCAAATCACCTAGCCACTTCTTCTCAGTTGTCTAATCTGTAACAGTGAGATACTTATGAGATATAACTCATTGGATTGCTGTTATCTTCAGTAATTTACCTATGTAACATGCTGAATAGTATTTAACTCATATTTTGGGCTAGTTAAATATTAGCTGCTATTATTATTATAGAATTCATATGTCTTGGGAAAGCAATAGAAAGCTCTATTTTATTTTAGTTAGTTCTTATTAACATCATATAGAGGATTGTATAGTCATCTTCCATTAGCATTTAAAACACATTACTTTGCAAATCCCATTATTTTAAAAAAACACAATATTTTATGGCTATCCCCTCAAATTTGTGTCCAAAATCAATGATTTCATCTATCTATCATCCATTCATATACTGTCTTTCACTACGATTATCATTCCCTTTCGAGCTAATGCTTCTCAAGCAATAGTTTTCAAACCACCTGTATCAAAAGCCTCTATCGTGTTTATTAAAACAAAAATTCCAGGGTCTTACTCGGAGAGATGCTGATGAGTTGGACTCCAGAAAGTCTGGGTAATTTGCATTTTTAATACTTGCTCTATGTATCTTACACACAGAAATGTTTATAATCCAACGTTATGGAAAATTGATTTATTCATTATTTTCCACATGTTCATTCCTTTCCAAATATTCATTCTTTCTCAGCCGATAAGTGTCCTTTCTATAGATAAAAGGCTATTTTAGTAATTATGCTCAATCTTCAAAGAATACCACAACTGCACTAATTATACATATGCAATGGTAGCTCGTATATCAAATCACATTCATCCATCAAATTTCACTCACATTCTGTTTCTTTCATGTCTACTACAACTTCTTTAAATCCCATGTAAAGCACATCATTTAAATCCTGCAGAAAGTTTTACTGTGTCACCTGCTTTCTTTCTTTTATTTTTAATCTAATTCACACTGTTAACATAGTGCAAAATTATGGAAAGCACATCTGTGACAACAAGTCAGACTTATGTTTGAACTATGATTATATTAGTTTTTGCAGAAGGTACTTGGTCTCTCTGAATCTAACTTTCCTCATCATAAAATAATTACTAATATTGCTCATATTTACTGATTGGTTTTGATTAAATGTGATTTACATAAACCACATAATTCATGCTTTGTACAAATTACAAAACCAAAAAATTTAGTTTCCTCTCCTCTCACTTTATTATTTATGTTTAAGTATTACAAGTGAGCATGTGTGTATTGTGTGCATGTGTTTGTGTCCCCAGCTAGATGGGATGTTGCGTCACTTTGTATCTATAACATATAAATCATAAATAGTTTAATCAACATCATAAGTATAATATTACCTTAGTGGAGTATTCGAGATATATTTATTTTTTACATTAAAATATGTATTAATTTCTCATGTACATGTGTTCCTATCATTAGGTTTGAACTCCCTATAGACAGTCACTGTCTTATTTGTGTATCTTGATGGCCTACCACAGAACCTGGTATAAGATAAAAACTTTCTATATGTATGTTGAATAAATGAGTGGATTTTGCATTTCTAAAGAAAAAATTATGAAGAAAATTTTCATTTATTGGCTTTTTTAGTCTTGGAGCAGAGTAATGGTTTTTATTTTTTGGCTTGATTATTGGTGTATGCAGTAAAATAATTAATGTCTTTACATATACTTTGCTATTTAGTTTAGCTCTTGTGTCATCCACTTTTTAAATCTAGTACTTGGGACCTAGTAGCTGCTGACTAAGTGAAAAAAGGAACAAATAACTAAGTTGGCAGATGTTTCACAATTGCAGTAGGCTGACATTAATTTACAAAATGGTATTGGAGATGGGTTTAGAGATAACTAGTTCAAAACAATTATGCTTTTAGTTTCAGAGCAAAAAGTGAAGAGATGTACCCAAAGTCATAAATTATTTGAAGAGAAAGAAAGGAATTATATACATATGGATATTTTGGTCATTTATTTTGCATAATGGAAGATAGAAATTTAAAAATCAGCAATATAATGATTTTGAGACCATATACACATTTCAAGGAAGCATAAAAATAAAGATTAAGTTTTTTCTCTATAGACATATAATTATGTGTAATTACTCATGATCAAGAAAATGTGGACCTACAGGAAGTATTCAAAATACATATGAATTAGCAGTAAGCTAGTTCATTAAATTTTGTCTAAATATTTATTATTTGGCTAGCAATTTCACTTTGATAAATGTTGCTATGACTCACAATTCTTGGGTCATATATTATGTTAATATATAGAAGAAGCAGTTTTAATTCAAGAGCTAATGATAATGATAACTGGAGAGATTGAACTTTATATAAATTATTTATGAGTCTAATCGAGGAATAATTGACAGTGAATGAAAAAAGTAAGAAAAAGCACTGCCATTCTTTTCTACTGAAAATTATGTTAATTTTCAGTAGAAATCTGTATGCACCATCCATATTGTGAAACTAAAATTCATTAAACAATATTTACGTAAGAACAACTGTCATAACTTATTTTAATAGTTAAAGAAAATGAGACTGTTTAAGTGATGTGGAAAAAGTTATAGTTTTAGAATTTCAACACATTTTACAGGTTAATCATATTTAGACTTCAACCTTTCAAGTGTCTATTGCATGTCTATTTTATGCCTTGAACCATGACCAATCTTATCCTAAGGGAACTTCAAGAGTAAGTTTCAAATTTGTTTTGAATCCTCACTGGCTTAGACTGAGCAGAAGTCTTTTAAAAATGCATATTCCTGGAATCCACACACAGAGATTTCTAATGTGTAGGCCTAGAATACTTCCAAGGAATTGGTAATATGAACCCCATGGGGTTGTTGTCTATACTGAAATTTGAGAATCACTGAGCTGAAAAATAAATAGTCTTTACTTTTTCTTGTTATTTATCATTTAATTCAAATATTGCATAATTGCAGATAAACAGTGCCTTCTCTGCTGTCAGCTCTCTGAATTATGAATATTTTTTAAAAAATGATTGAAGCATAAACAAATTTTAAATATTGTACCTTATCCCAGGCAACCAGCTCTACCATACAACTAGTGGAGCATGTATTTCCTAAATTACTTGCAGGCTACCAACAGAGATAATTTTCCTGCAGGATACAGGGACAATTTTATTCTTCACTTTCTGTACTTGAAGGACCAGGAACTTTATTAAAGCATTTCTTATTATAAATATTATCTTATTTTGTTTGCACTGATTAAAAAAAATTCACAGCTGTAAAAAAACAAAAACCCAAAAAACAAAACAAAATTCAGTTATTTAAAGCAAGCAGTATTGCTATGCATCTATACATAATTTGTATAAGAAATCTCTGAGGAAACAGTTAACATTAGAGGACTATTCTAGGTCGATTTTTTAGCAAGGTTCAATGAAAAAAATAAAAATTATGCCATAATGATAGCCTTTAAAACAAATAAATTTCAGATTTGCCCAGTTCATATATTTGGATTGTTACTGAAGAGTTTGAAAGGAAGAAACTTATTAGCTGCAACACATAATTATCAACCAAGCAATTAAATCAATTAATACATACATATTCATCATATGTGCTAATAGTCTGCTCTCCACAAAGTATTGTGCTAGGAACAAGAGAGAATACTAATCCTCCAAAAAAGGGAGAATACTAAATTAGTTTCTGCTTCTGGGAGTTTATACTTAGATATGAACATGAGACATATATAAATCAAGAAATAAAAACTTTGGGTCTCTTTTATGTATTAAGAAGGACTCCATATGTGAAACAGTTCACTAACCACAAAGGATTGGAATGAAGAAGAAAAGAGTCCAAGTGACAGGTAAGGGCATCACCAATAGATAGTTGGTGCTCAGGTTCAAGGAGCTTATTGTGATCTGGACACTCTGAATCACCGCATTAAAAGAAATCACAGAGGCCCTAGAACAAATTCCTTTATTTTACAGGAGACAAAGTAAGATTCTGGTTTTGAAGGCTAATGGAATGATAATCAAATAGTTTGAAAAAGTTCACTATATTAAAAATATACATGGCAATGAAAGCTATCATACTTTCACATGAATGTATCAGAAGAGAAAGTGTGGAAACAAATTTAAAATCTGTTCACATATGCACTTAATTTCAACTAAATCTGAAATATATAAACTGACATCTGTATGTGTAAACACATAATCATTGTCTTCTTTTTCCAAAATATGTTCAGAACAAACAGCTAAAGCATCACATCCTCTTGTGGTGTTTCTATTTTAGGCAAAATAATAAAAAATTTTATGGATAATTAAAACAGTATTGCTCCAAAGTCACTGTAAGGATTCAGAAACTATGGTAAATGATTTCCCAAATGTATCTGCAAAAACCTACAGGATTTGAAAGAGAATTTAGTTACTGAATTATATTAAAAGACATCAAACATGAGAAAAATAATATATGTTTATTATTAAACATGAAAATATTGAGCATAAAAAGGAACAATTTTCTATACTAGACTCATTTTATTGTTTCTGGGCATAGTTGTAGATTAGAACTCAGTATATTTAATACTTATTTTAATAACATGTTTCCACAATTTTGTTTTGAATGCCACTGACAGGTTGATCCAGCATGTATATAACATGATGTAAGAAATAAAAATATGGTTAATTTGCAAATTATCTCTTTATTGTTTGCTCTATTTATAAACCTTTTCTTAGATAAACTTTCTTCTTAATTTGCATATTATATATATATATTTTAGTGAGAAATTTTAAAATCCCTACTTATCTTCCTTTGATCTTTTGAGCTTTTAGTAAAGGCAACAATTTGTTCTATAAATTAGAAAAAAACCATTATTTCAGACAAAACATATTTTCTCATTTCAATGTTTTAACAATTTGAAATGACTTACTTTCTAAAGATATGTAACTATTTACTTTCCTATGTGGATTCCTTTACGCATCCATTTTTATACATGAATAAAGAAAACATTCATTTTGTAAAGTCCAACTGTCAAAATTTCAGTTTAGATTATGTTTCTCTTAGATATTTGCATTTTTAAAATGAGTTCTGCCATGTGATTTTTTGGGGGTGAGCATGGGTTGTTGGAGCAATACATTTTTATTTGCCATTAAAAATATTAAACATTTTAAATTTCTTAAAAAAATAATTCTAAACATCACTGAAGATTTTCTTAATATTCTAGAATCAAAATTATGAATATTAATTTATTTATGTATAGGCCGAACTAGATGTATCAGCTTTGTTCTAGATGATGGGGTTGTAAAATGATTTGTTTCCTGAATTTTTTTGCATTTGATTTTTTTTTGTCTTTTTAGCACTAGCACACTTTCTCTTCAATTCTAATTTGAAGCTCCTAGTTGCAGTGGGCTTGGGAGCCAGATAACAAAAAAGTTGTATTAAAATGTATGAAATATAAGGATGAATAAGGTTGAGGGAAACTCTAAAGCTATTTTTTTTTGTTAGAAAAATCTGTTTACATTATGGATACGCTGACTTGCCAGAAATCTATGATTCTAAACAGATATTAATATGTGTGTGCATTTTTTAAAGTAATAAGCAATTTTTTTCTGTTCAACAATTGGATAATTAATGAAAAGATTACAAAATGAATATTTCAGATAAAATAATGCATTTTCCTTACCATTACCATGAAAAAAATTTACAGTGTCTGAAGTTGAGGATCCTCAGAAACAGACCCTGAAACAGGAGTCTGATTTGCAATTACTTTATAGGTTAGTGGTTCCAAGAATGATGGGTCAGGATAAGGAGGCTTCAAGATCAAAGAGAAGAGAGTATCTAGGTGGACTGAAGAGCAGAGAGCACTGCTGTGGGCAGGTGAGCCCCTCGGGGAGGTGTGGGACACTGTGAGAACACACTTCACAGATTGAGTACTTTATTTACCAAAGCTCCATTAATCACTCTTTGATGACTGTGGTTGAGGAAGGTGAGTCAGGGTAGGAGATGAGGAGTACTTAATTCCCCATACTTCTAGCCTCTTCTCACATTCTTGCCAGCATAGGAATTTATCAGGCAGAGTTGTAATTGCTTGAAGTAATAAGCTGTCCATCCATATGAGAAAAATGAAGGCTGAGTACATAAAAGAATACTGGTGCCTGGGTCTTCTGCAGAGGAGAAAGATGGCACACGGAGACACTTAGGGGTAGTTCAAAATAAAAAGGTCATGGTAATCTGATGTATGCAATTTTACATCATATATGCTTGATGTGCCCTACATCTTTCCTTAAATGTTACCTTTCCAAAAATTAGACCACTATGGTTTTGTCTCTATGCTAGGGAAGTCAAGGAACATCACTACCTGCTGAGGAGTAAGGCAGAGAGTGATTGTGAGGCTCAAAATAAAATGAAAAAAAAACAAACAAACATTGTTACCGATGTTTCTAGATCCCAACAAAAAGTCAGGATTAAGTACTTCTGACCTTATGAGTGCACAAAACTGCTAAGCCAAAAATCAGATAATGTTCTTCTCACCTGATGTACATTGCTTGAATGGAAACAGACTTTTAGAATTACCCAAACTGTTACTTGGATTACTTTAGTAGCTTCTGTGTTACAAAGAGTGGCTGATGTAGCTTTCAAGGTAAAACTAGGATGACGTATTTGTATAATGAACATTCAAAATGACATAAATGTAATGATATGGAGGTACTGAAAAAATGTTTGCATTATTTAAAGTGACAAATGTTAATTCAGTGGATAAGCAACCTGTCACCTGCTTGGGACAGACTCTCACAGCTGTGGGAATCAAACTGAAGCATGACTTATTAAAAGTCATTCAGGAAGCACCTGTTCCAGATGAAAGGATAAATTACTTTTATTCTAGGCTTATGTATTATTTGAAATGTGTGGTCATTTGCTACAGAGATGGCATCATTAAGATTTATTCAGTTCACAGATGTTGTGCTAAGGATCAGAAGCAACTGAACTCAAGAAGTCTTGAAATGTAGATTATGACACAGCTAGGGCTCCTACATCTGTAATTACAGATTTTATTAAAAATTATTTTTTTGAGACAGGGTCTTGCTGTCTCAAAACAGAGACCTCTTGCAGATAGCTGGGACCTCTGTCACCCAGGCTGGTAGGCAGTGGTGCGAACATGGCTCACTGCAACCTCAAACTCCTGAGCTCAAGCAATCCTCCTGCCTCAGCCTCCTGAGTAGCTGGTGGTACAGATGCATATCACCACGCTCAGCTAATATTTTAATTTTTTTCGTAGAGATAAGATCTTACCATGTTGCCCAGGTTGGTCTCTAACTCCTGGGGTTAAAAGATCCTCCAGCCTCAGCCTCACAAAGTGTTGGGATTACAGCCATGTGCCACCATACCTAGCCAAAAATTAATTTTTAAATAATTATAAAATAAAAATAGTAAATAAACAAATGGACACAGATCTTGCGTCCTTTTTTTTAAGGACAGTGTTTAATAGTACTATGTTTGTCTTAACTTAGTAAGATAAATTTGTCCTGTTTATCCTAAAACTGTATAAAATAATTAAAAAAATTTTTTGTATAGTTGTATGTGGTTCCTATACATGTGTCAAAAGTTTAATATGTCAAAAGGTATTTATCTTTTTTAGAGTCTTGGATTTCTCAAATGGTTTATCACAGATGGTTAGATTTTTAATTGCTATATATTCTGATCATCATAATAAATACAACTCAGTAATACCCTGGAGAGAAACCTGCAAATGTATTCCTTAATGGAATTTAAAAGCATACGAATTTAGTTCAGAAAGTAGGTGTTTTCCAAATGTGTTGTAAAGATAAGAGTCAGATTTCACATTGTTAATAATATAGTCCTTTTCAGAAAATTTGTTCAAGCAAGTAAGTTATTATATAATCTGTACACTGACTAAAACAAACACAAAACAAACCCCAGCTTTCCCTGCACACACATTCTCCCAGCCTGTTCCTCTAATCCAAAACACCATAAATGAAACTTTCATAGCTATTCTTTGGCCTACAAAATTAATTTAAAATATTGGAAAATTAATCCATAAAATGTAAAGTGTACGCACATTTAATGTACTCCATGGTCAGAATAACCATAATTATCCTTCTTCCTAGAATATGTTATCTTTTGAATGAGAACATATTAACTTTAAAGATTACATGCTGCAGATGAGGGGACAGGAATAATACGATTAAAGAAATCTATGTTAACTCAATACTAATATAAAGATATAGTGACAATATAAAAGTAAATATTATAGAAGGAAAGAATCTTACATTGATGTATTTCAAAATATTTTAATATTTAGTTAAAACTTAAAAATCATTGCAGATCAACAGAGTAGTCTTTTCTCTATGTATTACAAAGTGTTCAAAACTGTACTAAGTAAACACAACTAAGTTATTATTTTAACATTAAGACCACCAATACTTTCTAAAATGATGTCCCAACCAAAGATGTCTCTTCTGAGTCTCAGACTGGCATAACTAAAAAGACAGCAATCCAGAGGCTAGTGGCTTTCCTCTTCTTTCATCAGTCATAAAGTTCTAGTTAATTTCACTTCCTCAGTTTTTCCATTAATCCAATATTTTGGGTTTTCCATCATCTCTTTGATGGTTTCCTAAAACTGCCTCTAAGGTAGTCTCTACACTTCTGATTTTATTCCACTTTCCAAGCTACCACAACAATGATATTTCTAAACTAAAATTTTGATGGGCCACAACCCTCTGTATGGATGACATATAAATCATCTAATAGCCTCACTTCTATTATCCTCTCTCACCATGGCTCCTATATCCTACTTTCTATATCCAAAAAATACTACTCTTCTTCTGGTCTCCAATCCTGTAAGGATGCTGTTCTTTCATCTTGGATTATTGACATCTTCATCTTTACCTGATTGTTTTGTACTCATCTTCAATATTTCACTATGGATGTCTGGGCTAAATTATATAACACCAAAAATGTGGGTTATTTTCTCCTATCATATGTTCTACTCCTAAATTGAATTCTGTAATACAAAAATTGTGGAAAATTTAGGGAACATACTTTCAGGTATTATCTATTTTCTTCTTTTTGGCAACTTCAAGAGTTCCCAACACCAAAATGCCTAATAACAATTATTATTGGAAATCATTAATAATGATTAATCTTACTCTTATTAAGACTACTTTGGATATAGTAACATAATCTATAACTTTTCTATCTGTCTACTGCAATGGCAGTATTTATTTCAACTTGCAGTATTTTAGGGAATTTGGAACAATATAGCCACTTAAAGAATAGGGTGAACTTCAATGAAGAAAAAGTCAAATTTGTTTTGTGTGGTAATGTAGGTTTCATCCTAGCCATCTAATCTAATATATGAATTTTATGCTAGTTGAGTTATGCTACTTGGAAAGGATCATGTGTCATTACATCACTCCAAAAACCTATCAAAACCCTCAAGGCAGTAAACATTTTATTGGTCTTACAAACCAGAAAATTGACACTCACAAAGGCTGATTACCTTGCTCAATGTCATAGAGTAAATTTTGAAGACAAAGAGCAAATTTAATTTTTTAAACTCCAAACCATTACACCATTCTGCCTCCTATGATCAATCTAGACTTCTCAAAAAGTAGCAGCACACTAGTAAACCAAGGTAATTTATTTGTGTCTTAAAAATACAAGTAGAACCTTCCACTGTGAAAACTTTGTTTTATCATACTTCTCATCAATATAATTTATCAAAATGAAAAAGCGGCAAGGGAGAGATTGCTTTATTTCCAATTTATGATTCCAAAGAGCTACTCTTTATAGGGATGTACTCTTACAATTTTCTAACTAATAAAACTGCCACATCAATAGACAGCTTCAGCAATAATATCTATAAGGGATTAATAAAAGGAAATGTTTCCTTGTATACTGTTTCTATTTTTCACAGTATGTATAAAGAGTAATTGTAATACAACATATGTGGTGATAGCATCATTGAACATAGACTCACAGCAAAGCCTTAGTAAACTAAAAAATCGCAACTGATCTGGATGAGAATAATGACTGGAAAAGATGTCCAGTAACCACCAGCTAAATAAACAGTTATAACTTAACCAATAATTCTACTCATAGTCCAAATACATTTTTTTCTAAAACACAAAACATCAATCTTTTACAAATAAATAGAGATCTACTATATTAATCTTATCAAAAAAGAAATACTAACTTTTTAAAGAAAAAATATTCTATATGTTTTTTATTGCAGAAGAAGCAATAGAGACTTTTATGCTTGAAGACATTCCTCAATATTAAGATATTTAAAATGGGACTTTGTATTTTATTTTGTTTTGATTTTAGACTCTACTGCCTTTCTAGAAGGAGTTCAATTTGCCTCACCACTTTCCTCCCCTTTTATTCTTTTTCTTTTTTATTTGATTTTTGATATACAGTCCAACAGAATCAAGTCTTGATCCTTTTTTAAATTTAGCATATGCTCATAGTAGAATTATTTGCTAGATTCAGTCATGACATATTTATTTTCTATACATTTATCCTAATACATGTTTTATTACAGTGTTTAGTTCCTTTATTCAGATATCAAAATTCTCTCTTTATATTAGAAAAAAATATATTTTCATCTGGCGAGCTTGGATTTTTTTTTTACTCAATTGTTATTATTCTTTCCCACTGTAATACACTGCTTTCTTAAAATAAATTATTTAAATGAATTAAAGCACAGCATGGATAAACAAATAACAATGTAATTGCACAAGGAGACAAAGATTGTTTTTTGGAAAAATGAGATCACTTATGCAATTTAGTTATGCAATTTTCTATATTCTGAAGAATTACAAGGCATTAAGTCATTAATGGGAAGAAAGAACAGTGGTATTTCTGAGAAGCAGGCATAGAAATGCAGAAAATATATGCCTTTGATCTAAATGACAGAAGTAAATTTGCCAATGGCATAATAATATTAGGCATGTTTAAATGAACCTATATTACTTGAAAGGCAGATTCAATATTTTTCAGTTTGAAGAGGCCATTCAATGTCAAGCATAAATGAAATTAAGTTATATACATAATATCTATAATAGAATTTGCTACATTAACGCTTACAGATGTGGGTTAATATTTTATTTGCATACATCACCAAGTCTGTCCTGTTCTTTGGTTGGATTTATCACATTTCTGCAGACATGGCTTGCTGCTGGAAATGGACATGAACAATCAAATTTTCAGTTTGAAATAAGTGAAAGATTCCACTCCAGCTGTATTTGCTAAGCCTTTTGGTAGCTGCAATGATAAGGCAAAAAGAGTTTTGAGAGTGAGAAATCTAAAGTGGAGATGCAAATCTCATGCTCTATTGCTGTATTATTATCTTTGAATATGCTGATCCTGACTAGCCTCAAACTAGCTGTACCAGAACTGAAAAGAAAAGAGGAAGGGGTTATGGTTCTTACTTTGTGAACTGCGCTACATCCATTTTTTAGCACATTTTTATTACAGTGAAACACAGTTTTATTAATATATATTTAAAGTAGTTTTTGTTTCATAAACTATTATGAAAAAGCACTCCATTTATATTTCTAGTTGTTGCTCCTTATGCACACAGAGTCACATATCTGTATCATACATTTATATCTAAATGATGTCATATTATGGTTAATCAATCTTATCAAATAAATTGGTGAATAAATGTTGAGTTCTATTTTTAAACAAAACGGAAGTATTTTTAATATTTCTATGATAATTAAAAACAATTTATTGGTTTTAATTTCTACTTTCTAAGGATGCGATTCCTTAACTATTTAGTTAGGAATAGATAGTATTAATAATTATTAAAGTTGAAAATACACAAACACTCAAAATCGTGCAGGTATTTTCCTGCCAGCTTAATCATCTGCATTCCAATAGATATTTTTGTTTCAAATAGTTGTGCACAGTCATTTTAATATGACCAGAGAGATACCTCCTCAGTAAATTTTAATCTAGCAATAATCTCACCAGGTAAACTGCTGGTATTTTTACTAATAAGATAAACCATTGGAAAAATTAAAATATCTGGATAATTATGTTTTAAATTTGAACGTTCTGTTTTAAAAAGGTGTAGCAAGAAATGCAAGCAATTTTATTATTGGATTCAGAGTGGTTTGCATTTTTTCCCCTTGGCTACAGCTCCACCTTTCAGTGACACAAATATGTATTATGGGTAGAAAATTTGTGACAGTTGTTAGAATCAAAATGGGGCCACTAGTGCTAAAATTCCTTTATGAAGCCCAGGAAGGCGATGACAAGGCAGCTCTCAGACACAAATGCATGATAACAAGAGCTACCACACAATACTCTGTTGAAACCACAACTTTGCACAAAGGCCATTTTGCAACTTTATACAAAAAAACACTTCTGCCAGGACATCTGCCTAGTAAGTGTCTGTCCAGTCTTTTACTGATCCTTATAGCCAAGAATAATTATCTCAAAATAATTATATAATCCTCCTCATTTTTCCTTTAAAAATGTGTCTTCCTTTACCTACCTAAATAGGCATACAGTTTTCTATGGCATACATATTCCCATTGAAATCCCTTTTTCAAATAAATACCATTTTATTTTAGAAAGTCTCCTACTTTATTATTTAGGTTGACAAACTAAAGATAAAAATGGTCACATTTTTTATTTCTAACATTTAGCATAAAGCACCCGAATAATATGATGTGCCTCTAACTCTATTTGTTGAATGGAACCAAGGGTAGGTTTCATGCGCATCCATGTGAAGAGACCACCCAACTGGCTTTGTGTGAGCAGTAAAGCTTTTTCATCACCTGGGTGCAGGCGAGCTGAGTCAGAAAAGAGAGTCAGAGAAGGGAGATAGAGGTGGGGCCATTTTATAGGATTTGGGTGGGTAGTGGGACAAAAAGGCTACAGGGTGTGGTCCCGGTCCTTGTATAAGAATTCCGACTGCACAGCCTTGTACTTTGGCTGTGTGTAATGAAAGGGTTGGGATGAGTCAGAGAGAGCTAGTGTGGAAGCAGTCTCTAAAGCTGTCTTCAAGGAATGGAAAGAGGAGTGGGGAAAGGATTTAGGATCTATGGGGTCAGCAAGGTTTATCTAGAACAGAATAATGGGTTGTGGAGGGAGGTATCAAGGACAGGAGAGTGTATGGGTTTGGCACCATGGGGTGGATAAGCAAAGCAATTTGGTTGATAAGGAGCAGATCCTGAACTAACCTGTAAGGCTCATCCAGTTCTAGGACAGGTAAAATGGGGGAATTGTAAGGAGAGTTTATAGGCTTTAAAAGGCCATGCTGTAACAGGCGAGTGATAACAGGCTTTAATCCTCCTGAAGTGTGCTGTGGGATGGGATATTGGCATTGAGCGGGGTAAGGGTGATTAGGTTTTAATGGGATGGTAAAGGGAGCATGATCCATCACCAAGAAGGGAATAGAGGTGTCCTATACTTGTGGATTAAGATGGGGAGATACAAGGGGAGGATGTGAAGGAGGCTTTGAACTGGGGAAAAGGGCGGCAGTGAGATGTGGCTGTAGCCTAGGAATAGTCAGGGAAGCAGGTAATATAGTTAAAATGTCTCGGCCTAATAAGGGAACTGGGCAGGTGGGGATAACTACAAAGGAGTACATAAAAGAATATTGTCCAAGTTGGCATCAGAGTTGGGGAGTTTTAAGAGGTTTAGAAGCCTGGCCATCAATACCCACAATAGTTATGGAAGCAAGGGAAACAGGCCCTTGAAAAGAAGGTAATGTGGAGTGGGGAGACTCCATATTGATTAAGAAGGGGACGGACTTACCCTCCACTGTAAGAGTTACCCAAAGCATCTGTGATGGTCCAAGAGGCTTCCGAGGTGATCGGGCAGCATCAGTCTTCAGCTGCTAAGCCGAGAAGGTCTGGGAAGGAGTCAGTCAGAGCGTTGGGGCCAGTTGGACAGTCCAATTTCCAGTGGGGTCCCACAGAGATGGGACAGAGCTTAGGAGGAATCCTGGGCTCCAGGCATTCCTTGGCCCAGTGGCCAGATTTCTGGCACTTGAAGAAAGATCCTGATGGAAAAGGTCCTGTAGGAATGCTTGACTGCTGAGGCTTAGTCATTTTGAAGTTCTTGAATGCTGGAGATGTGGCTGGGGTTTCTCTCACGGTGGAGGCAAGGAATTGCAACTCAGAAATACATTGCTACTTGGCTGCCTCTATTATTGTACACCTTGAAGGTGAGGTTAATTAAGTCCTGTTGTGGGGTTTGAGGGCTGGAATCTAATTTTTGGAGCTTTTTTTTAAATGTCAGGAGCTGACTGGATGACAAAATGCATATTGAGAATAAGACAGCCTTCTGGCCCTTCTGGGTCTAGGGCGGTAAGGCATCTCAGGGTTGCTGCCAAACGGGCCATGAATTGGGCTGGGTTTTTCATATTTGATGAAAAAGAGCCTAAACTCTAACTGATTTGGGAGAGGTCTGATAAAGAAAAAGGAGCATTAACCTTGCCTATGCCTTTAGCTTCAGCCACATCTTTAAGAGGAAATTGTTGGGCAACTGGGGGAGGGCTAGTCACAGAAAGAAACTGTAAGCCAGACCGGGTGTGAGGAGGGAAGGTGATAGAAAGATTACAGGGTGGAGGAGTGGAGGCTGGGGAAGAATTGGACCTGGCTCGGCCTGGCAAGGAGCAGCTTGGGGAGGAGGGGAGAGGTCAGATGGGTCCGTAGAAACTCAGCAATGCTTGGGGTTGAGACTGAGGGGACAGGCGGGAGGGAAAGAAGGAAGATTTGGGACAAGTTGCATTGGGAACAGAGACTAAGGATGGACTGATGTGTAAAAGAATGCCTGGACGTCAGGCACCTCAGAACATTTGCTCATTTTACGACAAGAATTATCTGGACCTTGTAGGATGGAAAAATTGAAAGTGCCATTTTCTGGCTATTTGGAACCATTGTCGAGTTTGTATTGGGGTTAAGCAGCATTGCAGAAGAAAATGAGGCATTTAGGTTTTAGGCCAGGTGTGAGTTGAAGAGGTTTTAAGTTCTCGAGAACACAGGCTAAGGGAGAAGAAGGAGGAACGGAGGGTGGAAGATTGCCTATAGTGAAGGAGGCAAGTCCAGAGAAAAGAGAGGGTAGAGACACGGGGAGAAGGGGTGGGGGGCGGGTACTTGCCCCCCAGGAAAATGGTGCTTGCCACTAAGGGTGAAGGATCAAGGCAGGCATCCATGCAGTGATCAGACACCTCTGAAACTTGGGTGAATAATCAAGCAGGCATCCCTGCAGTGATTAAACACCAAGGGAAGACTGTCTTCCCGAGTCCGTGACCAGCACCGGAGTTTTGGGTTCACAGATAAAACACGTCTCCTCTGTCTCTACCAGAAAAGGAAAGGAACTGAAATTAAGAGAAGGGAGAGATTGAAGGATGGCACCAAGATTGAAAGGAGAAAGAGGTTTAGGGATAGTGAGAGAGGTTGGAGAAGAGAGTAAAAAGAGACTGCTTACCCGATTTAAAATTGGTGAGATGTTCCTTGAGCTGGTTGGTCTGAGGACCCGAGATCGTAGGTGGATCTTTCTCATGGAGCAAAGAGCAGGAAAACAGGGGATTGATCTCTCAAGGGAGGTCCCCTGATTCGAGTCACGGCACCAAATTTCACATGCATCCATGTGAGGAGACCACCAAATAGGCTTTGTGTGAGCAATAAAGCTTTTTAATCACCTGGGCGCAGGTGGGCTGAGTTCAAAAATAGAGTCAGTGAAGGGAGATAGGGGTGGAGCCGTTTTATAGGATTTGGTTGGGTAGTGGAAAATTACAGTCAAAGAGGGTTGTTCTCTTGCAGGCAGATGCGGGGGTCACAAGGTGCTCAGTTGGGGAGCTTCTGAGCCAGGAGAAGGAATTTCACGAGGTTAATTGCTCAGTTAAGATAGGGCAGAAACAAATCACAATGGTGGAATGTCATCAGTTAAGGCAGGAACGGCCATTTTCACTTCTTTTGTGATTCTTTACTTGCTTCATGCCATCTGGATGTATATGTGCAGGTCATACGAGATATGATGGCTTAGCTTGGGCTCAGAGACCTGACGGTAGGTTTATTGTTTCTATTTGTACATTAAAAACTGATTTGCAAAAATATAGACAAAATATTTCTAAATCAATAGGCACATTCTTCATAATTTTTAGAATTTTTTCAGTTTGTACTGTAAGTTCTGCTTTTTAAAACTAAATTTGAGTTTATTCTCTCCTTGATCTTGGAAATTGTTCTTTTAGAACGCAGTAATTTAAATGTGAACTGCCTAACTATAAAAATGTTATATGGTTTAACACTATACAACATGTAACATTACACATATTACTCAACTTAAAGAGGAAAATGAAATACTAAATTAAGCAAATAAAACATTTATCTTTTTTTGTAAACATACTCTAAACTACTGTTTGTTTTTCTTAAGATGGAGTGCCTGTATGACTTTCTGGAATTACAAATTTTTCTGTTTTATTTTATTATGCTTTCAGCATTTACCATTGCTTTTAAACAATCTTGACCCTTTGAATGGCTGAAAATAAAATGTCTTTTTAATGGAAAATTTGCTATTTTAGCATTTTTCAATTAAATCTGCCTGTTTAGTACAGAATCACAACTATTGTAGTTTTAATTTTTAAAACAGTTCACAATTGCTTCAAACATGTGACTATCGATAACCACAATGTCTATGAATGTTTCCATCCTTGTGACACATCACTGTGAGGATAGGAGAAAAAACAAAGTTACGGTGATTAAATATTGAGACAACTGAAAGTCAGAGATATAGAAGATAAAGATGATAGTTTATTAGGAAAAGTATGCATTATATACAAGCATTTGATAAAATATACTGGTATATTTAAACCTGCAATACAGAGGTTATATAGTGCTAATATTTGTCCAAAGAAATATTGAACAAATAGACATTTTATTGTAATTCTCTTATTCCTCTCAAATTCAAAATCACAGTGTAATTTTAAAATTAATTACTCAGTGGGACACAGTGGCTCACGCCTGTAATCCCAGAACTTTGGGAGGCTGAGGCAGGAAGATTGCTTGAGCCCAGGAATTTGAGACCAGCCTGGGCAACATAGTGAACCCTGTCTCCACAAAAAATACAAAAATTAGCCAGGCATGGTGGTTTGAGCCTGTAGTTGCAGCTACTTGGGAAGCTGAGGTGGGAGGATTGCTTCAGCCCAGAAGGTCGAGGCTGCAGGCTACAGTGAGCAATGATAGTGCCACTGCATTCCAGCCTGGGTGACAGAGTGAGACCTTGTCTCAAAAAAAAAAAAATTAATTTGTCTTCAGATGCATTATGGAGGTAGTTAATATATACATCCAAATACAGAATGGCAGGAAATAAAACCTTCTACCACAAAGCAATCATTTTAAAAAAAGGGCATAGAACCAATGGATGATAAGTATGTTTTATGTTTTAACACAGAAAAATGTGTAATAATATTCATCTATATATATTACTTTATCTGAAAGTACTTCTCGTTTAATATTCACAGTTTAGTTTGCAGTTTACTTCTTTAAAATGTTTGCCTCTAAAATGGAGTTAAAGATGTCTTTCTGTTGTTTTCTTATAATATGTATTCTTAACACATATATTGAAACTATATATATTATAATCATGTATTTTTCTTTATTCTTATATGCATTCTGTTTGATTCCACAGATTGTAAGCAGCATTGCAGTCCTGGGGGTACTTTGCCAAGTAACTGGCATTTAATAAATATCCTTCAAATTAACAACAATTATTTTATACAAGATAGTATGTTGACTAGATTATTTTATAGTATATAAATGGGAATAAAATTAAATGAAGAATATATTGTGTGGCTTTGATTTTAGAATGCAGAGCTTCAGATAAAATAGCAAAAAAAAAAAAAAAATAAAAGCATGGAAACTATACAGGCCAGTTTAAAGAAAATCAAAACAACAACAACAACAACAAAACAACCAAAAGCCTCTATTGGCTCCCAATTATATGTCAAATTTTATAGACATTAATATCCTAACATGGGTATTACCACTAGATTACAAGAGAGAAAATTGAAGTTCAGAGCTTTCAATCAATTGACCACACTCACTAGCAATAAAGAGCTCAGCTGGAATTTAAAAATTAGGTCAGTTCAGTATCACAGCCTGTTACCTTCCTTGCTTTACCCTCCAAGTTTTGAGTCCCAGTGGAAGCACTAAGTTTCTGGCTCTGTCAGCCCCTGCAAAGTAATACTTTGGAGAGCTAGACCTTCATCTTTTCCATCTGTGCACTGTCACAAATTTACTTGGTGTTTCTGATATATGTATTTAATAAATATCTGTTGAAGTGAATATGAGTTTTTAGTTAAATGTTAAATACACACATCACAAGTACGTAATAGTTTTAGGGAGCCTATAATTTGGATCTATGAAAGTATTTAGATTCACATAGTAATTAGAATATGCTTAGGTTTCATCAGTAAAATATCAATCAGATCTACAGAAAGCAAAGACCATATTACTTAGTAAAGGTAATTTCATAACTATATGCTCAAGAAAAATCAACTTTTGGTATTCAAATAGAATAAATTATAACAAATATTTGTGAATTTTCAAATAGAGTAACTAAACTCTTAGAATAATAGCACATTTTATTTAAGGGTTGTAATGCATGTCAAAAAAACGACCTCTGGATTTAAAAGCTAAGCAGTGCTTGTAATGACAGGATATCCCAGAAATAACTCTTAATGACTCCCAATCAACACACTGTTGCATTTTTATCCTACACATTTCTGATGATTATTTAACACTATCTTTTAAGGTTTTAGTTTTATGGAGGAGGGGGAAGAAGAACAATAATTTAGTTTAATATTAAAATAGTGATTAGTACTGACAAGCTATGTGAACAAGGTCTATTATCTACCTGATTTTTAATTACCTTTTTAAAAATATATACATGTTCTGGGATTTTACTTTTCTTCATTATACCTGCTAGATCCTGAACTTTTAATTTCAGACTATTAATTACTATGATATCCCCAGGTCATTTCCTACTCTCTGTTTCTGCAAGATTAATATCATCCTAAACATTTACGTTACCTCTCCTTTTCTATCTCCCCAGATAGCTAACTTAACTTTACACACACTGAATTTCACATCTTTTTGTTGCTGCCATAGCAAATTTCTATTTCTTTTCTTTTCTTCTTAACAATATCCTCCTTAGTGCTAACATTGTTTCCTACTTTATCACTAAATTTTATTGTCAGGAGATTCTGCTGTGGAAATTCAATTGTCTGTAAATCTGAGCAGGAGTAAAGCTGCTAAAATCATTGTGAGTCTTATTTAACTGTCTGGCACATAAATCAGGTGGATTTTATTCGATTTCAGTGGGGTGTTTCTCTAGACCTTAGCGATCTAACACATACTGATATTAACTAACTGCACATTCAAGTGCATATTATTGCTTCAAAGAGGGATAATTTCATCCGGAAAGGACAGCCTATCTTTTTAAAAGGCAATCATCAAGAAACATGTCTGAGTAATGTCATCCTGGGTCAGTGATATAAAAGGGGACTGGAAATTCAAAGCTTTTCAGTGTTGTCATTACTTCATTCCATGCCTTCGGACTAGTCCTTAAATGCTAGACATATTGCATTCCTGTTGTATATCATTTCAGTCTATCACTATTGGCATGGAAAATAATATTTTTATAGTGATATAGTAGGTTACTATTGTTGGCTGTGTTTCTACACACATTAATTTTATTGTGTTCTTTAAATCTACCAATAACCGTATATAGTGAATAGTCTTATCACTGTTATTATCTTAAGGCAGTAAAATGTGAGATTTGAAATTAAAAAAGATATATAACTTCTCCATAGAAGAAACATTGATACAGGCCAGAATCATGATTTAGATACAAGATGGCATATGGATGTGTGTGTGTGTGTATGTGTGTGTTTAGGATTAGATATATGTATATATATTATGTTAGTATATATATTCTAAAGGTCTATGTATATATGTGTGTAGAAACACAAACATAAACATATATAAATATATACATATATGTATTTAGATTATAGCTAATTAAGAAAAATACAAATACACAAAAATGTTTTAGAAAAATATTGTCAGAGGCAGAGATGGTAAAGAATAATACACAGACATATCCAGGTTGATTTCATTAGAAAAAGGAAATGTATTTGATAGTACAATTCAGATGCTCATTTAGAGTTTTAACAGAATGTCACCTTCCCCTCTTTGCTTGTCACTGATTGTCTTCAAATCTTTTTAAAGAGATATTTTCCACGATTTTCCAGGAACCTTTTTAGCCTGTGCCCTTGATTTCGTATGAAGCCCTCTCTTCAGGTAGCTAAATTGTAACCTGGCTAATCACAGTTAGTTCTCTCAGGCACGCAGGGGTATACAATTGCTGTCATATTGAATAAACCAAAGAATAGAACTGAATTTTTTAAATCTGTTTTGGCTTGTTAAAGAATTGCTTATAATGGCAGTTTGTTTCTATTTACATAGGCATACATGTGTTAATTTTGGAAAAGCAAGATTCACTTAAAGAGGATGTATCCCAAATAAGGAAAGCTAGATTCCATCACCTAAATCCTCATCAGATTAGAATGTGAATGCTACAGTAAATTTTCAGTGTACAAACTAAATAAAATAAATAATCACATTTTTAGTGAAGTGTAAGTCAAGATTTATCTGAGCCAGAATGCAAGCTGATTTCTTTAAAAAATAAATTGACAAAATCTTAAAGATTAGAAACACATATATGCACACAGTAACAATCCAAAATTTTTAAATGAAAAATTAAGAAAACCACCATAAATGAGACATTATAACCACAAGAGCTTAGATATTGATCCTATAAAACACTTCATGTAACATAATATTTCAAGTACATAAGGATTAAAAAAAGACAGTGTTGCAAACATAAACAAGGAATATGAAATTATCCAAATCAGTTAGAAACATATAAACTAGAATTAAGTAGAATTTCTAAACATATAATATACAATAATTAGGCTGGGCACTCTGGGAGGCCGAGGCAGGATGGTTTGAGCCCAGGAGCTCGGACCTGTCTGGACAAAATGAAAATACAAAAAATTAGCCAGCTGTGGTGGCACACACCTGTCATCCCAGCTACTCAGGAGGCTGAGGTGGGAGAATCACATGAGCCCAGGAGGCCGAGGTTGCAGTGACCTGAGATCACACCACTGCACTCCAGTCTGGGCAACCAGAGTGAGACCCTGTCTCAAAAAAAAAAAAAAAAAAAAAAAAGAAAATCATTAGAATTAAAAGTTTACTGACTGCATGAAGTAGGTAATGATTTTTATCAGCTGAATGATATTCCTTAAAAATCTATAATGCAACATGTTATGAAAAATATATAAAACAAAAAATTTAGGAAAGAGGATAATAGGGATTCCTGTTTTTCCTATTTAATATTTTTTGGCAGATCTAGAAAATACAGGGAAAAATAATAATGGTTTTAAGAAATATGTAGAATTAAAGAAAAAATACCCTTGGTCATTGATGATATGATACCTATTCATGAAATCCAAAATAATTTCCTGACAAATCATGAGAATATGAGATTAAGAATATAGCACTATGAGATTAAGATTTAAAAATTGCATTTTTATGCACCAACATGAAGTTGAGACATATGTAATATATTACATGTTTATGAAAAGAGTGAAACTCTGTAAACCATTTCAAGATTTTTTTTTTGAGCCAAATATGGGTGACCACGGCCTATGGCACAGCCCAGGAGATCCTGAAAACATGTGCCCAAGGTAGTCTGGAGCAGCTTGGTTTTATACAACTTAGGCAGACATGAAACATCAATCAAATACATTTAAGATACACATTGGTTGGGTCTAGAAAGGCTGGACAACTCAAGGGTGGAGGGGGTTTGGGAGAGTGACAGGGGTAACTTTTAGGTTATAGGCAGATTTAACATTTTCTGATTGGCATTTGATTGAAAGATTTATCATCAATAGAAAGAAATGTTTGGGTTATGATAGGAAGTTGTGGAGACCAAAGTTTTATCATGCACATGGAGCCTCCAGGTAGGAGATTTCAGAGAGATCCTACCTATTGCTTATCAGACTTAAGATCTGTGTTGATGTTAAATGCTGGTCAACTTTTCCTGAATTCCAAAAGGGAGAAGGGCATAGTGAGGCATGTCCAACCCCCTCTTCCAATCGTGGCCTGAACCAGTCTTTCGGGATAATTTTAGAGGGCCCCGGCCTAAAAGAGGAAGTCCACTCAGATGGTTGAGGGGCCTTAGAATATTTTTGGCTTACATCCAGATAGATACACATGTAGGTAGATACTTATATGCACATATACCTACATGCATAGTAAACACAAAGATGCATGAACGAAATAAAAACCATTTGAAATAGCCACTAAAAATATGAAATTCTGAGAAATAAATAGAACATACATGTAAATAAGGTTTTATTATTCTGAATGTTATAGAACTTTAGTCAATTCTGTGAGTATTGGCTTTATTACCCTTTTGCATCTGAGATAGCTTCTGTATTTTATAACAAATTGTAAGGCAGGTTATCATATGTAATATGTTACATTCCCACTGCCTTCCAAAAATGTTTTTCCTCTGTAATCCTTATGACTGTTTCTATTGGATTACTGTAGAGGAATTTCCTTCTCTATATACTTCTTAAATGTTGAATTTCTCAATGTGCTTAATATGCTCTCTATATTCTATTCCTAGTTGATCATATTGAATTTCAGAGTGTTTTTTTTTTTTTTTTTTTTTTTTGAGATGAAGTCTCCCTTTGTCACCCAGGCTGGAGTACAGTGGTGTGATCTTGGCTCACTGCAACCTCTGTCTCTTGGGTTCAAGTGATTCCCCTGCCTCAGCCTCCTGAGTAGCTGGGATTACAGGTGCGTGCCACCATGCCAGCCAATTTTTTGTATTTTTAGTAGAGACGGGGTTTCACGTTGTTGGCCAGGATGGTCTTGATTTCTTGACCTCATGATCTGCCCGCCTTGGCCTCCCAAAGTGCTGGGATTACAGACATGAGCCACCGTGCCCAGCCGATTTTCAGAGATTTTTAAAAATTAATTAGAGTCCTTTGACTTTAATTTATATGACCTGCCTTTATATTTAGTCTGAATTATTGACATGAAAACATAATTGAGCATATCTACTAATGTATAAATCTAACATGTCTGAGGCTAGACTGTAGACATCTACATTATGTATTTCATGGATATTGTGAGATGATGATACTGGTCATATTATAATCCATGTGATTGACACCACTTAGAAGAGCACATGGCTTGTGCAACGTTCCACAACATTCCTCCCCCATGTGTGTCCTCCTCCCTGGTCCTCATCACATCAGTAAAATAATACCTCTATTCGCTTAGTTGCTTCTGAAAAATGAAAATAAAAAACTAATATACATTTTGTGACTTTATCACTTAAATATCACATCCAAGTTATGTGAATACTCTCAGTTGTACCTTAACTACACGAAAAGGGATGTGTAGTTGCAGGAATGATAGAGTAGGAAGCTGTGGATTAAGCCACTACCTATAATCAATTGAATAATTGGGATAGCATCCTAACACTGATGCCAAAGCAGCATTTTAGGGACAAGACCCAGGACAGCTCCTCCAATAACTGTACTAATAAACTGATGGACAAGACCTTTCAATAAATTAATTAGACTGGGGGTGGAAAGATATAGGCTTTAGGGGCAATTATAAAGAAAGTGCTCAGTAAATATGCCATATTTTGGTTAGAAAGATTGAAGAAACTCAAAAAGGCCCCAAAATGATAATTCTGAAGAAATCCAACTGTGGAATAACCTCATGGCTGAAAACAAATGTCAGACTTTAACACAGCTGGAGAAAAGAGGCATTACTTTCAAAGGAGCAATTACAAGAGTACCATCAACTTCAGAAGAGAAGATACCACAGTGATATCTTCAAAGTGCTATAGGAAAATTAATCCTATCCTAGAATGCAACTAAGTGAATAGTACAATGCATGGAAAGATGAAAAAGCTAAAATGCAACTATGAAGATTAGTTTCAGCTTTCAAATATTTTATCTTTTATTCCTTATAGCTAGAACTTAGGTTGTGTGGTATAAGAATGGGGTATTAAACTGCAGAGAGTAGGGCCAGAATCAGGGAAGAGGGTGGGCCCAGATCGTGCATTAGCCACTTGCAATGCTGCTGCCTAACCAGGCAACAGAAAGGGGCTCTGCAGTTTGTAGAAGTGAAAAAAATAATAATAATAACAAGGGAGAAAAAGAGGGTGATATCACCTATTGATTAATTTGCATCCTGTTTTCACCAAGAATGAGAGCTAATAACTTCCCTTTCCTAATCTAAATATACCTCGGCTCTGAGTCATGGGTCATTCTTTGCTAAAAACCTGAAAAATAAAATATCAATGTGATGGTTAATTTTATATGTCAACTTAACTGGGCTAAGGGCTGCCCTGATAGCTGGTAAAGCAATAATTCTGTGTGTGTATATAAGGGTGTCAGTGGATGAAATTAGCATTTAAATGAGTAGATTAAGTGAGGATTTCCCACACCAACACTGGTGGGTATTATCCAATCCACTGAGGAACATAATGGAACAAAAAGGAGGAGGAAGAGTGAAATCAACTCTTCTTGAGCTGAGATATCTATCTTCTTCCCTCAGACATCAGCACTCCTGGTTCTCAGGCCTTCATACTCAGACTGAATTATACCACTGGATTTCCTGGTTCTTCAACTTGCAGACAGCAGATCATAAAGTTGGCCTTTATAACTGTATGAGCCAGTTCCTATAATAAATCTCTTCTTATGTATGTTTTCCTATATATACTACTGGTTCTGTTTCTCTGGGGAACTTTGGAGAATCTTGGCTAATACTATCCACATTTTAGTATTTCCTTAAAGGACTTCATGAAGACTGGCACCCAGGACATTTTAGAAGAGAGAGCCTCCTTCTAAAATAAAGAAGAAGGCAAAGGTTTGAAAGATTGGTGGATGTACAGGTAGCCCAACATGAGGGAAGATGATTGGAATTGCTGAGACTGGATTCACAAAGCATTACAAATGTTCCAAAAGTAGGGAAAATCTACATGTTGTCCCTAGCCAATATTTGGAAAGTGTATTTCTCCATGGAGAAGAACTGACATGAGGTACCTTATTTTGGAGTCTTACAAGAATTTGGCTTGGAAGTAGGGTAAATGTTTTTAATTGCAAAGTATGAGCTTGACTGCGTATATTTCAGTGGCAAACATAAAAGGAGGAAGCCTAGAGACTCCTCTCCTTCAAGTTTATTTACCGTGTTATCCACCACAACCTGACCTAAAGCTTCTATAAGACCACAGAATCAAACTCAAGTCTTAGTGATTGTGGTCTTATGACTATTTGGCATTTATTAGCTACTAAGCATTTGAATAATTTTTCTACTTGAGGGTATCAGTTTGTTAGAGGACAAGGCTCTGCTTTAAACAAGGGAAGCCAAGCTGGCATATCTTTCCATTTGTTGTCTCTTATTAACAAGGATATGGTCAATCAGCAAATCAGATATTCCAGCCTGGGTTTCTGAATCTTGAGGAAAAGTTGTAAGTACACACGAGACTTTATTTCTAGAGTCCAATAGTGACATCGGCTGCAAGTCCTGCACCACATTGTAATCAAGTGTCTTAACACTGGAGAGTGATCAGGACTGTCCAGGACAGATAAGCCAGCAGTGTAGTCCTAACCTGACTATTCCTGTGCAATGGCTTTGGGCGTGAATTCTGTTGCCCAACCTCTTTGCTTTTCCAGGTACTAGTTCCCCAGCCATTTCAATGATTCTGAGTCCCAGTTAAAGTCTATCAGTCTCTTCTACTTTTGGTAGCCTTAAGCTGCCTTAAGTGGGGACGTACTATTGAGGAAAAATAAAAATAGTCCAATCCTCACTGTATTTGTAATATGATGGAGAAAAAAAGATTAATTAAATATTCAAAAAATATAAGAAAGGAATTATAACAAATGCTATTAAGTTTTAGATATATGGTGCTATGAGATTCAATAATGTAGGACTAGATTTAGGTATACAGATCAAGAAAGGTTTCTGTGCAAAAATTACACTGAATATCATATCTAATGGGTGGCTGGAAACAAAAGACCATGCCAAGCAGAGAGAGGATGTGTGTAAAGATTAAAATGTGCATGGCAAGGAAGAAGGACTAAAAGGTCAGTGTGTAGATAGGGAAGGAACAGAGATTGACAAAGATGTTGTAGTAGGCAAAGATCACATTGTAAAAGGACTTATAGGTCATATTAATTTTGGTCATAATTATATTAGCCATGGAAAGCTGCTGAAGAATTTGAACCATGATGTGACATGACCAGATTTGATTTTAGAAAATGTCTCCAGAAGCAGTGTGAAGAAAGGATTAGAGGAAATTCAGTGAATAGGAGGAGGACATTCATTATTTTGCAAGTCTAGGTGAAAGATGGTATTTCCTGAGGCTGTATTGATGAAAACAGGAAAAGAGAGAAATGAATAGTTTAAAGAGAAAGTTAGAGCTACGATTACTAGAATTTGGTGATGGTTTTGTTATATGGAGCTGAAAGAGAGCTATGTAGTGTGACTTCTTGGTTTCTTGCTTGATCAACTGAGTGGAGGATTGTGTCTTTGAACAAGATTAGAGATATGTGAAAGGACTTTACTTGTCATACATATCAGTTGTTGGGGGGCGGGTGGCAACTTGTGCAGTGAGAGGTGGAGGGAGAGATCTATGGCTTAGTCTTTGCATTCAGCTGTTTGGACTGCTATGACAAAATACAATAAAATGGGTGTTTTATAAACAACAGAAATGTAATTCTTACATTTCTGGAAACTGGGAATTCCAAAATCAAGGCGTCAGCACATCTGATGTCTGCTCAGGTCCCATTTCTCATAGACAGCAGTCTTCTCACTGTAACGTCACATAGCAGAAGGGGCTTGAACTCTCTCTCATATCTCTTTTATAAGGGCACTGATCTCATTCATGTGAGCCTTGCCCCGATGACCTAATCACCTCAAAAAGTTCCAGCTTCTAATATTATCAGCATGGGTTAAAGTTTCAACATATGAATTTTGGGGGAATATACACTTTCAGGCCATTACAGTCTTAGATATGCATCTTAGATACGCTGAGTTTAAGATGTTTGTGAGGTAGGTGAATATGTAGGTGTTGAAGCCAAAGTAAGACTTTAGGCTGTGAGTGGTTTGCGTATAATTGAAGAAAATAGTAGGAATGATTTTGCTGAAACAATCTAACAAGAAAAGAGAAACTAAAATTGGGTTTTAGCATGATGGAAGGAAGAAATAGAGTGTGCTTGAGAGCAAGTGCATTCAATCTTAAATATGGCTGTAGATTTCATTTATTGCTTGATTTTTTTAAAGGAAACATACAGAGGAATTTCACAAGAAAATAGCTACACATTATTACCTTCATTTCATCATTGGAGGTTAAATCATGTCACTTAAAACATAGCAAGATAACTTAAAAATTTAATAACAACTACCTTATTATTCAGGGCATAATGCTCAACCTTAAAATGTTAATAAATGTTGTCTTAAAAATGGATTTTGATCTAATTATCTCTGACCTATTATATGGCTATATATTTTCTCTTTTTTTATTTTATTTTATTATTTATTATACTTTAAGCTCTAGGGTACATGTGCACAACGTGCAGGTTTTTTACATATGTATACATGTGTTATATGGCTATATTTTAAAGCCAGCTTAATATTGTATAGCTTTTCATTGCTCACCTAAGAAAAGACTTTTGGGGTCTGCATAAGACATAGAATAAATATAAATCTTATAAAGGCATAAGAACTTTGTTCAAATGATGATGTAATATTTTTAATTAAAAAACAAAATGTACTATTTAATAGTTATTTTCTATTAAATCTCTTTCGAGTAGTGTGTGTGTGTGTGTGTGTGTGTGTGTGTGTGTGATGTAATCTCATTCACATCAAGTTATCAAAGAAAGAGATTCATTTACATTTATGCTTCTTCCTGAATTGGTAGATTTGACTATCCATTTTCAAGGAAAAGTAACTTAGAAAAGCCAAGCAAACTATACATAAAATCAGATAATCAAAACTTAATTTGAATTATAAGAGATATATATGAAAGACATTATGTCAGATATGTTGCCTTCAATAAAATATTTACACTTGTTGAAATGTAAGAGTAAACTAAAATGATTATCTTTTAAAAATCAACCTGCTGAATACCCACCAGCATATCTGCCATTGGTAAATTAGATTTAAAAATCACCGTTTTTTCACTGAGTACACATGGATACAAGAAGGGAATAACAGACACTTGGGCCTACTTGAAAGTTGATGGATCAAAAAACTACCTGTTGGGTACTATGCAAACTCCCATGCCATATAATTTACCTACATAACAAATTTGCACATGTACCCTGAAGCTAAAATAAAGCTAAAAAATAAGCAAAATAATAGCTTTTTGATAGTAATTAAAATAAAATCCATAGTTCAGCTGATCATCATTTTATTGTTCATTTTATTGCATTTTTATAGGGTTCACTCTTCAAAATTGTGAATTCTAAAAAGGCAACCAGCATAAGCCAACAAAAATTTTTCAATTTTTGGCTTGTTTAATTTTTATATACATTAAAACAGAATATTCAATGTTCATTGTCTTTGCTTCTCTGGGCCACATTGGAAGAAGAAGTATTGTCTTGGGTGAAATGTAAAATACACTAACACTAACAAGAGCTGACGAGCTGAAAAAAAAATCGTATAATGTTTTAAGAAAGTTTACAAATTTATGTTGGGCCACATTCAAAGCCATCTTCAGCCATATGCAACCCACGGGCCATGGCTTGAACAAGCTTGCACTAAAATCTATATTCAGAACAATTAAAAATAGTATTATTTCAGCCTTTCATAATGATGCAAACTCTAATTTACGTGCGGCAATAAAAACTAACAGAAGAAAAGGAGGAGAAGCCAAGAGCTACATTTGACTACAGGTAAATGAGGCGACCATTAACTCTGTAAAATGAATGATGCTAAATGTCACTAAATGTCAATCTCATCACAATATGTCTACATTAGAAAAAGTATCATACTTCCTTTCTCTTGACAAATGGATCAATGGACTCATATAAAAGGCAATGCTATAGTCTCCTATTCCAAATGAGATAGGAACTCCTTATATATTATTTTCCAGTATGGTCATAACAACCTTCCAAACTCTGGACTCTTATTTTTCCATGTTTTATAGTCTTGCTTTTGCCTGATTATGTGCTTGCTGTTTCAGCTAAAATTTCAAACCTCACTGTACTGGCTACAGGAAAGTGAGAATCTACTTACCTGCTGAATTATGTAGGTGACATATACGGAAGGTGAAAAGAATATAGTTTAGAAATTCAGTGTTATAAGAGAGACATTGAAGACTGGAACGTTTTCTGAATTCTTATTTATAATAACCAGATGGCTGACTCAATGATTCCAATGGGTTTTTTAAAAATTTGCTTTAAGTCAGTCTTGTCATTAAATATTCACCCTTTTTCTATATATTTCATTCTCTTCAAAATATGATACTTTGTCTTATTTTAACCATGTTTTGAAAAACAGAAAACCATAAAAATGTATAGCTCAAGTTTTGAGCATTAACATGCATATCTTTAAATGAAAAAACTACCAAATGTTTAAAATTTGCTCTAAAATTAACTCTAATTACTATCTTTGGTCAATGGATGTATAATAATATGTCAAAACAAAATTAAACTATTTAAAGACTTATAATGTTTTATATTATCTGGGAAGTATATAGACGTTGAAACTTTGGAGAATTCTGTCTTCCTTTATGTGGTTAGCTAGGTTTAAAACGTACACCCTTCAGTGAAGAGAAAACAACACAAAAGTACCCAACCCTGAATAATCTGAATAATCAAGCAAATATTAGTTTCAAAAGGTTTTTTGACGCATAACCTACTATAAAGTGCACAGATCTTAAATGTTTAGTTCAAGTAATTTTTAAATATGTGTATGCCTATATATGAAGCATAGTTATAGCCTGCTATTTAGAACAGTAAGAATCAGATTATAGTTAGTGGGTTCATGGCTAAATAATATGTTTTTATCTTAACATCTAAAAGGTGATTCCCATCCCCACCCCGCCCTGAGTGCTATCATCAACTGACATGAAGTTTTAAATTTCTAATTTTGATTTTATCATCACTGTTTTTACCTTTAAGTCCATACTGTTTCATTCATACAAAATTATTCAAAAGGACAAATTAAAAGAAAACCAAACTGTAATGACACAACACAGTTCATCTATTCAAATCCGTCTCACGTGTTTCCATTTTTTAAGCTCTACAAGTGCATCCTGATAGTCATATCAATATCAGAATAGATATTTAATAGTTACTATGTAATAGTCTTCTTTAAATTATTTTCTATATATTGTGATATAAATGTATAACCAGCCTACACTTAACATTTGGTGGGTTCAGGACTAGAGAATACATAGAAACCAATATACCTCATATCAAAGTGTTTATGATATATATATGAAGTTATAAATGTTAAATATAATATTATATGTTCTACCTTCAAAAATAGACCTTTATAAGGTTCTTGACTTTCCAGATCTGAATTTATATTTCATGGACTCCTTAGCCTGTGTACCTTCCCCTGCCCCTGTTTTCTCCATACCTGAATCTATTCAATCCCAAGAGACCTTTATGCATGCTATGGATATCCCAGATGACACTGCATTCCGAGCATCCATAGCCATTTGATAGAAGTCCTCATGCCACTTCTAAGGTCACTCCGTGGTCCTGGGGTGTATACATTATGGTGTGTTGGTCTTTATTTGGAAAGTCTAGGAGAAGAGAAGAGAAGCCTGGAAGTGGGTTCAAGGCAGTTTGGATAGACAATTCCAGGTTCCCAGGTCCTTTAAATTCAGAAGTTGTGAGATTCTGGTTTCTCATGGACAAGTCTTCATTCAGTAGAGACAAATGTGACTGGATCTGGGTCCAGGTGAGGCCCAATGAAGGAGCCTCGATTGCTCAGATCTAGGATAGTAATGTATAAGTGTACACACATTAAAAATAATTATAAAGACAGCTGTCAACTTTCCTTTCTAGTATATTGAATAGTTTGAGACGAATGAATGATCCCACTGAGAACAACAATTTAGCAATATTTGTTAATGCTGATCTTACACTCTATCTATAGTCCCACCCTTAGGTATACACCCATAGAAATATACACACATGTGCACCAAAAGATAGGTACAAGATTGATTGGTCTATCATTGTTCATTATTGCCTCAAACTGAAAACAACCAGACTGAGCATACATACAGAATGCATAAAGCAACAGTGGAATACAATTGAGCAATTAAAACAAATAAGCTTTGCTAAATGCATTGCAAAGAAACTAGACACACTCAAAGAATATATCCTGTATGATCCCACTTGTACAAATCCTTAAATTGGTAAAACTAACCTATAAAGATTTAAATCGACATAGTGGTTAGTTTTTAGACATATGTTAATGTAAGTCATCTATTAATATCTCAAATGTGGTGCCTGCATTACTGGCAATGTTTTATTTTTTATTTGGGCAGTGGTAATGTGTTTATATTCACTTTGTAAAAATTCATCAAGCTGTACTTTACAATTTGTGCACTTTTCTCTGAATATGCTATATTTAAATTTATCTAAAATAATTAAAGAGTTACTTAGAGCAGTGTGTTTAGAGATTGCAAAGTTGGTGAAGATTTTTTTTTTTTAATAATCGAAACAGATTCTTCTAATTAGTGTCTTACTGGAATCTCTTATATGACAATTCTAATCCCTGGTCATCAGATTTTTCTGTATTACTTCAGTGACAGGAAATTAACTTCCAAGTTAGTTCATTTATATTTTTGAGAATTCTAATGGATATGTGAGGCTTATGTAAAACAAAACCTCATCTGCCTTCAATTACCCTTGAATGTTAACTTTATCCTCTAGAATACACAAATTATGAAATGTCCCCCTAAACGATTCAGCCTCTGAATAGTTGAAGTGTTTGTGGCTCTTCTCCAGGTCATGTATTTCCTCGGCTAACAGAACTACTTCCTGCCATTTTCTTTATAAGTATATGGTCGTAAACAATTTCTCCATTCTGTTTACTCCTGTCCAGTCAACCAACTACTAATAGTTTAATCTAGGATCCGAATCTAAGTTAAATTTAACAAGTGCAATATGAGCAGCACAGATGCGTGGTGCAAATGTCACCTCCCTTGATCTGAACATTGGCCGTGAGTTCACTGCATCCAATCCCATTGGCTTTGCTGGCAGCCATAACACTGATGACTCTGAGCTAACAGTCAAATAGACCTCCTGAGCCTTTTTGACGTGAAATGATATAGAACTTTTCCAGGTGGAGACTATTTCCCTAGATATGAATTCAGTTTTTTTTTTCATCTGTAATAAAACTTCATATTGTTGGTCTTGGGCCATCACTTCAGTTCCTGAGATAATTCTCTATCTGAAGTTTACCTTCCCAACTTTCCTTCACTGGATATCTGATAAATAATTTTGTGTCTTTATATTTGTTGTAGATAATGTTGAACAGAAATGAGTACCTAAGCTTTTATTTATAATGATCTTTTCTCACCATAAGGAGAAACAGCAGATTCCAGAGTGGAACAGAAAATTATAAGCATAGAACATCTTGTCATATAAGAAAGAAAGAAAAATTATTGATGACTAATAGACTATCACTGGAAAAGAATAAAGACTTTAAGCACTGATAAGCACAATCGAAATATTGTAATGTGGTAAATGTTTCAATGTGTGAATCTATAATTATACAACAAAGAAAATGTCACTGATCACATTTGGAGGATGCTACCAAATCAAATCTTCATTTTAACATTGGTAAATAGTTGGAAAATCTCTAGCTCCACCTGTGGAATAACTTTAGTTTACTAGCTTCAGTTAATGGCAAGTTTATGAAGGGAAGTTTCTCTTTAAAGAAGTATTTTGGACAAATGGCCAAGCAATGATAGAATTAGAATGCCATACTTTTGCAACTCCTAATGATTTGTGGTTCTTTGTAAAGATTGTTAGAGAAATTAAAGCTACCATTATCTAAAGAACAAGACCTGCTTGTCACCTTATGGAGTTACAAGCACAACCAATGAAATAATTACATCTGATCAAGCTTTCAGACCTACCTACCATTTAATCAGAAATTCAGGACCTGGACTATAATCAGCAAAATTTAGAACTGTAGAAAACAAGCAACGCAGTTTCTTCTATGTCAGAGTTACAAGGGGGTAGAGAATGATCAAAAGAGAACTATACATTTAAAAAAGAATTAAAAAACATAACAGCCAATCACAATATAGATAATTTATTTATATCTTAATTCAAGCATAAAAAGTAGTTTCTTAAAAATAAAGTTTTGGAAACATGAATATTGACTAGGTTATTGGTGATATTAAAGTGTAATTGTTAAAATTTAAAGATACAATAGTATAAATATGATTATTGTCTTTTCAGAGTTCTTTGTTTTTAGATACATATTGAAATGAATTTAATGAGATAGTGAAGCAGGATATTTCCCTGACTCCTTCATGGGACTCATGACAGGGGTGCTTGGTTTACTCAGCCTGTTGCTTTCAATTCCTCGTGGAAGGTAATGCACAAGCGAACAAGGCGAGAACTGCAGTTCATGAACGCTGGAACCAGCCAGTTGCTTCAGTGCCAGCAGGAGAGAACTCCACTCACTCAGATCTGCTGCGTTCCTCCCCTTGCAGAAGTGAGCACTCAGGTGAGTGGGTACAGGAGCCGGGGAAAGTCCTTTTGGGTGCCAGCAGGAAAAAATTCCATGTGGGCCCCATGGCAGCATCTGGGGGCATGGGGTGCCTGTGACCCTTGAAGTCCCAGAGGGCATGTTACAGGGCTCTTTTAGCTTTGCCATAGTGGATGGCTTAAGTATTAACAACTCAGTGGGGCTTCTGCCTTTTTGCATGAGATGGTTGCCTTCTGCCAGCGAGGTCAGAGGGGCAGTGTGACAGCCTTTTCTATGCGCACTCATGGCTCCCAAGCTCTTGTCTGGCATCCAGGAAAAATAAGGTTGAATGAACGAATGGAAGAATGGTAAATGAGTGGGGTTTTATCACCAATGAAAGTGGCTTTCAGTGGGAAGGGGAGCTGGAAAGGAGATGTGGCTGGTAAGTAATCCTCCTCTGAAGTTCACCCATCTCCAGCTGGATTCTTCTCTAAAGTTATGCCATCAAGCCATCCCTCTTAAGTCAAGCTGCTTCTCTCCAAGGTCAAACTGTAGTCTCCAACATCCTGCTGCTTCTGCTCTCTGCTGGCTGAGTCTGGGGTCTTTATAGGCACATGATGGGGCAGGATGGGGTCATGAGTGGTTAGGAAAAGGCAACATTTGAGCAGGAAAGCAGGGATATAAGTTTTCACTTTGGGCAGTGGTCTCAGGCTTTTTGGCTTGAAGGTGGGACTCCAACAGGGACCCTGCCTTTTCTGCCTAGAATTTCTCTGCCTCCTGTCCCTATCAATAGTGTCTGGGATCTGGGTCAAGCAAAATATATCTTGAAATGATTATTGTAAAAGCTAGGTGATGAGTATATAATATTTCAAATACAATTCTCTTAATTTTTGCCAGTTTTTGAAAGTTTCCATCACGAAAATTTAAATAATAAATATTTTTGAAATGTCTTCTCATTGTGTTTCAAGACAATTAAAGGATTAAAATGGCCAAACTTCCACAGGATACAGATTTAAGCACAGGGTGAATACTTTAGAAAAAGTACAAAAACTAGCTGAAGCTGTTACTCTCCTCCCATATAGTTAAAGTTATTACATAAAACAGAAACTTTGGTTACTCATTTAGCCTGGATAATTAGTTCTAATTAATGAAGTCATAAGTGGAACATAGATTTATTTAATTTTTTGTAGTGAATTTTGAATATACTTAAGGAATATTCCATATACAAAAATGTAAGGCATTGCTAAAGAAATTTTGCTGAGTGTGATTGACTAGTGAAATATAATTCAGGTCTTCCTTTCTCCACTTTAGAGATTAGTGTTCTGATTTTTTTTCCTATTGCCCCAACTAAATCAGAAATAGAAAGAAATGGCTAGGGAAAACAAATAGTTTTCAATTTGCCACAGAAATTTAACGTTAAATCATCTAACTGGACCATTCTTAAAAAAAGAAAAATTGCCAAACACGACTGTCTAAAAACAATATGTAGGTGGTTGTGACAATCAGATGTCTAAACAAAACATATGGCCTTTTAACATCTTTAAGATCAGAATGCACAGTGACATTTGTCATAAGCATTATAAACTGAAAAGGAAAAATATTTTACCTTTTTTTCTTCTTAATTATTTTTCTCTTTCAGTAGTACATAAAAATTAAGGAGTCACCACTTTCAATCTGTACATTCTTAAGGCTCAAGATTATAGTAATTTTATTAGCCAGAATAATGAGATGCATCATAGATCTATTAGCCAGTAAATAATGCATTTGGCAATATAACATTCCCGTGAATAAGAATTGTTATGCTTATTTTTTTCTAACTTTGTAGAAGGGATATGGGATACTACTTATCTTTCCTTTTTTGATTAAATAATTGAGAAAAATGGATAGTTAATGACAAGGATGAAAAGCAAAATGGTGTTTTGCTCAGTGTTCTTCATCTATGGGCTCTAGAGCACTTGTAGAATATTAATTAAGCCACTTTGATGAAGAAACAATTTTTGAAAAGTAAGAAATGGAGAAAATAAAAATATAAATAATTTGCTGAAGGACACAGTACAGCATGACTTTGTAATTCTTCTGTCATTCCTTTTATGTTTATTGTGATTTACCACAGCACACTTTGTAATCAGAGATTCAACAAAAGCAAGAATTTGTTCTACTTGCTCACTTTTTGGGGATAAAATAATAATTTGTTGAACATACCTGGAAATTTGCAATTAGCAAAAATATTGCCCGTAATTTTATCAGCAAGCCTCAAGATAAAGATGAATTCACCTAAGACAAGATTGCCTAAAATTCAATCTAGTTTAAATGCTTTAAATGTTTAAAGTTTTATACACTTGAATTCTAGATCAACAGTATTTGTATCCATTTTCTGGCCATACATCGTATTTGCTATTCTGGTCAGGAGCTTCACAAAAACTGTGAACAAATCAACAGTATTTGTATTCATTTTCAAAAATTTAAGCACTTTTACACATTTTCTCAATTTTAAAAATTGATAATCTGATTCCAACTTTGTCTTTAGAAGAATGCATATATATATATATATATATATATATATATATATATATATATATATATATATGTATCGCTTTTTTGCATTGGATATTAAGTTCCTTAACAAAATCACTATATATTCTCAGATTCTGCGTTGTGCCACCCAGATTCCCATTCAGAAATAGAGGACTTGTAGCCCCAGCTGGACATGAGATTATCACAAGGCCTCCGGCTCTCAACATCCACAGGAATTACCTGAGCTGACAAGAACTACCTCACACAAAGCCACACCCCTTACCTTGGGTGGCCCATCCAAAGACTGATCAATGTCAGAGTAATAAGGACCTGCCTCATTTGCCTTGATTGCAGGCCACTCTAGACTTCCATCTCAACATCAGAGCTCCATCTGGGGTCAACTGAAGCTAAAATTAGGACTGCATCACAGCTCAACTTCTTTCTCTGACCAGTCCTATTTCCTTCTCTTTTCCTCCACAGGTGGTGATCTTAAGAACACTGTCCAATCATCCTCCTCCACACCAAAATGTCTGCTTCTGAAGAAACTTGATGTCAGTAACAAAGAAATATATTTCTCTTATTTTTATGTTTCAGTATATAATAAAGAATCAATTTGGGGGAAAAATTGGGAAATTATTGTTTAACCCCCCCGCCCCACAAAGTAGACTTCAATTTTAATGCAAAGTGAATTTCAATAGTGAAGCTATTTTATAACAAATAAGAAGATGAAAGTATGTAATAAAATTTATAATGGGCATTGATATGTAATCTTTGCAGTCTAGTCTATCTTTACCACTCAGTTTGGCCACAACCATGCTGAAACACTGATTCACAAATTATGTTTTATCAAATGGTATCAGTGTTCCCATGACCAGAATTACTAACTTATACAAAGCTAGTTACAGAAACCTAAGACAAACAAATGTGGTTTAAACAAAACAGAGGCTTACTTTTTTCTCATTTATATCATCAATATCACACACTTCTGTCTTTCGTCTTCACCATCCTTAACATGTGACTCATAGTGATAATATCATTGCACAAGAAAGATAAATGAAGAGGAAAAAGTAAAAGTTTAATTACTGCTGCTTATACCTCATTGTCTATTTTTGTCTGGGATGAAGCCTGAGAAGTGAAGTCTTTCTATGAGGGGGTAGGAGGTCATATTTCTACCTCCAATAGTATAGATAATTTAAGAAATAAGGAGAATTTATATTGAGTAGAAAATTAAGCAGTCCCTACTGGAGAAGAAACCCTTCAATCGAGGCACAAAATTATAACAATCTATATGCATTCATGATGTATTCTATAATTTCTTTTACTCACAAGTCAGTGAAAAGGAGTTTAATAAGTTCTGTTAGTGTTCCCTCCTCAGTAAGAATGTAACAATTAATTCATATCCCACTAAGTTGTAGTAAAGACGAATTCTCTGCAAATCCAGTAAATTATCTGAGTGGTAGAGAACTTCATGTTTTATTCTCATCACATAAATTAAAAAATACTTAAAAGGAGGATGAGTCAAGGCTGTAGTTCTGATGATGACAAAGACTTTCTTCGTGTTAGACAAGACTGCTGCAATAATATATATAAAAAAAATAGTGCAGCACTTGCCAATGTGGAAATTAGAGAGTCACAATTTTTGTGACGCTCTTGACCAGAATAGCAAATAAGATGTATGGCCAGGCGTTGTACATTTCACTTATATTGTAACTCTAAGCTTTCTTTTTCAGACAGAGCTAATTGGTAAAGGGGTTTTCCAAACAATTAAAGGCACAAAATATATTTTTAATCATCAGGAAGCTACTGAAAAATTAGTAATTCGCCTATTTAATGGCATTAATACGCACACAACAGGAAAAGCAGAATCTTATAGCCTTGAGGGAAGGCAGAATTTCATTCTAATTGCATACTGATTGGAAATGGGATAGCTGCCATTTTCTTCAAAATATTCATTTCAAAATACTGAAAGATAACTTTGGTATTTCTAGATCAGATAATGTAATTTGGTAGCAGAAATGGCTTCAATTTTCTTCCCTTGCTCTAAGGCTCAAACCAACTCAAGCATTTCTAAGGCACATGTCCAAATTAGTTATCTGTTTTCTGAACAGATGCTTATGTGGTTTCATCTGCTGCAAATTAATAATAAATAATTTATCACATATGTGTTATCTAATTTTCGAATACATTTCTACTTGTTTTTTTTTTCAATAAGATACTGAAGAGTTAAGGGTGAAATATCTCAGACCAAACTAACGTTTTGCTCTTTCCAGTTTCTATTTACTCAGATTAATATGGTAATTCGATTCATTGAAATTAACCACAATGTTCCTGGTTAGAGTCTGTTAAAACTTCTCTTCAAAAGTTAATTTACTAATTTGAGGTTCTTTTAAGATAAGGTTTATTTCAAGTTGCTTTAAATGGGTTCACTTTGAAATTCAGTATTTATGCATCGTCATGTTGCTTGAAATTAGAGATAGAAATACCACCAGATTATCATATTTTCTCTTATTTTTGTTATATTTTAAAAAGTGTTCAATTGCAGCATGGAGTTAATATAAAAATCACAACAAATAAAAAAGTCCAACACACATATTTATATGTAAATACCATATAAAGAGGAGTTCTAATTTTATTCTGTTAATTTAATTTAATTTAAATTTAAATTATTTAATTTTATATTAAATTAGTGGTCCAATTGTAGCAAATTATAACATTCTTGGTATTAATATTTGTAACCACCCAAATAAGTGTTTTTAGACATATTGTTATGAATTCAAGAAAAGAACATTGAACTACTTTTAAACAGTAATTAACACCCTCATTAACTTTGTTAATAATATGATAATTAATTATTAATAATAAAATTTGTTAATTAATTCAATAATATCAAAATTTAATAATACATAGTTATTAATTGTTAAAAACTCACCATTGGTTATCATCACATTCAATTAGATATAAAAATGCAAATTTTATTTTCTAGAAAAAAAAGAAAAGCTTTTATTTTACTGATTTAAAGTATGAACCAGTAGCCTTTGAGTCTTCTCATCACAGATGTACACTAAAACTATATATTATCTCAACTAATTAGTTTTTAGGTGAGTTAACTTTGGGATTTCTAGATCAGAAAATGTAATTTGTTAGAAGAAATGGTTTCAGTTTTTACGCAATTTAAAAGTTTATTATCGGAAGATAATAACTCAGGAGTCAATAGAACATTTAATTATATACAGACTTTTAAGAATATGTTGGATAGAAATTTCGACTTTTGAACCTCTTAATAGAAAAAGTTTGCTATTTTTTACAAGCATTTTGTGTTACTTCAAGTGGTAAAATCATTTTAAAGATAAACTATTTTGTTTGAGAAAATTTGACTAATATGTTTTTTTAATTTCAATGCACATTATTTTTATTATATACTGGATTAGAATGTTCCCAATACACAACCCCCTCAAAGTACTTACCATCGCTAAAAAGAAAAACTGTACACATCTAAAATAATGGCAAAATAGAACTACCAATAAATGTAATAAGAACACAGAGTGAATATATATTTATTTTGGAAAGGATATCTGTACCAGTTATAACAAGACAACTTCAAAGTACAGATCAAACATAAATATTCTTTTATCATGGGAGGGTGCCCATTACTGGCATACAAGAACTGGCATATGACAGTTCACATTTCTATAAACCAATAAAATATCATTTCAATGGATTGCTTTATTAGCCATGTGTATCATTGTCTAATACATATATCACTACAATAATTTTTAATCATTTTAAATGACAATATATGTTCTTCATTTTTTCAGGTTTACATATTTGAAATAATCTAGAAAAAATTCCCACTAAAAGAAAAACCTCTTCATTAATTAAACAGAAAAAATATAAATTTTAAAATAAATTATGTCATCCCAAGTATAAAGCAGTAATGTTGGCTACATCCAATAGTCAGAACTGATTATCCCCTAGTTATAGTAACTATCCTATTCAGTGTTTTCTAGATTTGTGCTTAATTAAATAAGAGATGAAAATATATTTGTCAAGAGTATTGGGTATAAACAAGCCATATGTTCGAAATACAAAATAGAACAAACTATTATATGTGACATGTAAACTTTTTTCTCGGTTTGGCCAAAATCATGCAAATTTGTATCAAGGTTGAGTACTTTTCTCAATCAAAATATTTTGGTTTTAAAATGCTTTTACCTTATCAAGCAAAGGAAATATTTTCAATTAGGAACTAGCTGCATACACCACTGGTAGCTATGTAAATTGGTACATGTTTTGAGCAGCAATTTGTTAGTCCATGATCAGAAACTTGCAAATAATTATATTTTGGATCCCATGGCTCCAATGAATATTCTTAGGAAATAATGAAATACAGAGTATGAATGGGAAGAAGATATTGAACTAAAATGTTTAATAGAATTGCTTACACTAGGAAAAACTGGGGTCACCTCAGGTGTACGAAATCTTGGTTTGGGTTCCCAGAAAAGTAAACCTATGACATATGCAGCTAGTTTATTTGGAAGGTGATCCTAAGAATCATGAAAGAGGGAATTATAAGAGTGAGATAAAATAAGAGATAACATTAATAAAGTGAGTTAATGATCTGGTTACTGCTTTTGGATCTTGCTGTGATCCATCTGAAAAATCATACCAATATTTGTATCATTTTCATCTTGCAAAAGACAGAAGGTTGGTGCCTTTAACTTTTGAACCCTAATAGATGAAAATTTCCTCAGCCTTTCAACCCTCACATTCTGAGCTATCACATATTCCTGTAGTTTTGAAAACAAAACAAAAATTAAGGACAGAAAATCTAAAAGCAGTGTTGGGGTTTAAATTCAAATGCTGAGAGTTTACATAGGAACTGTTAACTACAGTTGCAACTAGAATCAGTAATGGGCTGAAAATATGCGGATCAGTGCACTATAAGCATCTGACACAAATAACTACTTGTTACACTCAAATTAGGGCACGCCCCAAATCAAGTGCACTCAATGCAGTGGCTTGTCACACTAAAAAAAATGTAACATAGGAAAGTTAGTGGAATAAATATCACCCACACCCTGCAGCTAGTCCTGAGACCCTAACTAATGGTTTTACAACCTCCTCTATGAATACTGTCACTGGATCCTTGGGATGTTGCTCGACCTTTGCCTGCTGAGCTCATTTCGCCAACTCAGCATGGCAGGCTGCACTCAGCTAGCATGACCAGCCTGAATCTCATGCCTGCCGAGGGCGAGCCAGAGAGGTGTGTGGAGCAGAGAGAGGTGTGTGAGTGAGCGAGCATGGGGTCCAGCCACTGTGCACAGCCAAGCACTCTAGGTGCAGTGGGGCAAGCTGCTCCAGGTGCCAGTATGGGCACCAGCTCCCTGCAAGGCTGCAGCTGGACCAGGCATGCCCCAAGCAGCTTCCACAGCTGGGACTAGGGAACACAGTGGTGCCTAGAAGCTTGGAGACGCCAGGAACCACAGAGCCCCAGAAAGGGTGTCACAGCCCTGGCTCGGGGAGCTCCTAGGTCTAGGCTCCCTGAAGGGCTGTAGCTCTTCTCCCTTCTCTTTTCTCATTCTTGTGGTTCACCACGTGGCAAGCAAGGGGCATGTTTGAGGCCTGTTTGTGTTTGTGTGTGACAGGGGGCTGTCATGTCAACGCTGCCCCAAGCATGCACACGTGAGCTGGGTTGCAACAGCACCAGGCTTGGCCTCAACTTTGCTCTAACATTGGAGAGGTAGCCAGGAGCAGGGAGAGGGAGCCAGGAGCAGGGAGAGGCCAAGCAGCAGGAGCAAGCACTTCCAAGCCTGCAGGGGCAGGGGGATGCTTCCCGGGCCTCTGAGAGTGCAGAGATGCCCCATCTGCAGCCACACAGCTAGGTGACTGGAGTTGTGCCTCTGGAATGTGAAGCTCCCACCCTGCCAACTTAGAAGGGGATGGGGTTTCTGCCTGATCCTGGCTCACACCAGCTATGCAGAGGGTGTAGCCCCAGCCACGCCTCCCCCACTGCAGCTGGCATCAATGCAGTGGCCACTCCAGATGAGCCACCACTGCCATCAATACTATTTTGGTATCACTCTCAGACACCGTTTCAGCTTCCTTAGGTAGCTTGCATGGGGGAGTCATCCAGATTTCAAATCATGAGGGACCAGAGGCCCTAGTACTTTTACCCTCTGGTCTGGCCATTCTTATGTTTTACCAGACGTGGAAGCAACAAGAAGAACCACAGTGAATCCCTCAAGTCCCTGACACACACATATGGGTCTGCTATGTGCATGTGGAGGGCCTGCTACCTACACATGATAATCAGAATAGATTATCCTCTACAGTATATGAATTATGTACTTTCCTGCTGGACATTGTTAAATGACATGGTGTATCATCTCATGTTTCAACTTATAAACAGCATCTTGTAGCATAGACCTCCAACTCTTCAAGGTGTCATTCAGAATGGTCACTGTAGCTACGTGTTTAATGATCACCTATGCAGGATTTCATCACTGTAAATCAGACACTCTCTATGCCCTCAGATCATAAAATAATGAATGTTTCTTATCAAAATCTATTTTCAAGTAATATTACTCCACTTCACATATAGTATAAGAACCTCTCAGTGGCATATTTTCATTTCTCCTCTCCTAGTCCTTATAATATTAATGTGAAACATTATACTCACATATATGTTATAAAGCTCACAGCTCATTGTTATTATTTGTTTAAATTGTCAATTATCATTTTTAAAGATCTAAAAAAAATTTACCCATTACATTACCGTTTATTCCATTTGTGTCTCCAGATTTCAATCCAGTGTCATTTTCTTCTGCCTGAAAGATTTCCTTAAATGTTTCTCATAGTGTAGATCTCCTGGTGACAGATCTTTTCAGTTTTTCTATGTTGATGGTTTTCTATTTCACTTACTTTTAAGAAAGATTTTCAGTGAGAGTAGAATATAAGGTTGACATTTTTTTCTCTTTAGTGATTTAAATATGTTGTGCCATAGTCACCTTGTTTACATTATCTTCAATGAGATATCTGCTTTCACCCACATCTTTGTTCTTTTCTATGTAATGAGCTCTTTTTGACTGCTTTTAACATTTTTTATCGATGGTTTTAATCAATTTGATTATAATGTATCTAGCATATTTTTCTTTATGTTTATTGTGCTTGAAGTCTGTTTAGATTCATGGATCTTTCGTTTTAGAATTTTTTTTTTTTTTTTTGAGATGGAGTGTTGCTCTTGTTTCCCCAGCTGGAATGCAATGGCGTGACCTTGGCTCATTGCAACCTTCGCTTTCTGGGTTCCAGTGATTCTCCCGCCTCAGCCTCCTAAGTAGCTGGGATTACAGGCATGTGCCACCATGCCTGGCTAATTTTGTATTTTTAGTATAGATGGGGTTTTGCCATGTTGGTCGGGCTGGTCTTGAACTCCTGACCTCAGGTGATCCACCCACCTCGGCCTCCGAAGTGCTGGGATTACAGGCATGAGCCACCACGCCTGGCCCATTTTAGAATTTTTAAAATCAAAATTGAAAAGTTTAGCCATCCTAATATCTTTTCGTGTTCTCCTCCTCATTCCTCCTCTTCTTCGGGAATTATAATTGATGACTTTTAAGTGTTATTCCCATTTAGCAACTATCTCAATCAAATCACAAAAAGCATTTGAAAAAATGCAACATTCACTCCTGATTAAAATTATCAGGAACTAAAAATAAAAGGGAACAGCCTCAACTGATAAAGTGCATTTATAAAAATTATAGCAGAGACAGGAACACAAGAAAGATATCTCCTCACAGAACTTCTATTCAACATTCTACTAAAATGTAGGGCAGTGCAATCAGGCAAGAAAAATAAATAAAGCACATCCAGATAAGAAAAAAGGCAGTGATATTGTCTTTATTTCCAGACAACATCACTATATATGCATATAATCCAGCAGAATCTTAAAAGCAAGCTACTAGAACAACAAATAAATTTAGTGAGGCAGTAGAACATGAAATCAGTAAAAAAAATCTTTTGTATATCTACATACTAGCAATGAACAACTAGAAATTAGAATAACTTTTTAAAAACTTTTTATTTTATTTATTATTATTATTATTTTTTGAGACAGAGTCTTGCTCTGACATTCAAGCTAGAATGCACTGGCACATTCATAGCTCAATGCAACCTCGAACTCCCTGTTTTGGTCTCCCAAGTAGCTGGGACTACAGGTGTGTCACCACAACTTGTTCATTTTTTTAATTTTTATTTTTAGCAGAGGTGAAGTCTGTCTATGTGGCCCAGGCTGGTCTTGAACTCTTGGGCTCAAGCAATCAACCCGCCTCAGCCTTCCAAAGTCCTGGGATTAGAGGTGCAAGTCACCACATCTGGCCTAAAATAACTTTAAAATTCTATCTATTTATGGATAAATTTAACAAATTATGTAAAATGCCCATACATGGACAATTACAAAACATGTCTGATAAAATACTCGTATTTAGAAAAATATAAACAACTCTCAAAACTCAGTAACATGAAAACAAATAAACCAATAAAAAATAGGTACAAGATTTGAACAAAAACTTCATCAGAGAAGATATATGGATAGTAAACAAGTATATGAAGAGTCCAATATTAAGCAGTCATTAGAAAAATGAAAATTAAATATGTAATGAAATAGCATTATATACCCATTAGAATAAATAAGATTAAAAATAAACTAAATAAAACAAAAACAAAGCTTACCCATACTAAGTGTTGATGAGAATGTGGGAAACTGGTAGTCTCACACCTTGCTGATTCAAATATAAATTCAAAATTTTAACTTTGGAAAACATTTGACATTTTTCTAAAATATTAAACATACACCTATTACATAATAATATTAAATTTCACTCCTAGGTATTTACCCAGAAAAAAAGAAAGAAAATGTCCATACAGAGGCTTATACATGAGTGTTAGGGGCTATAAGTGAAATAGCCCAAAACCAAAAACAGCTCAGACTTCCCCACTAGGGAAATGGATAAACAAATCGTGATATATTGATAGGGTAGAATACTACTAACCAATAAAAAATGAGTGAACTATTGATGCATACAACATAGATGATACTCAAATAATTGTGTAAAAAAAATTTACACAAATGTGTCATCCTCTATGATTCCACTGATTTAAAACTTCAGAAAAGAATACTTAATGTATAATCAAATAAGGTACAGCCATGATTGCCTGGAGAAGGAGAAGAAGAGAGTTTCAAGACAAAACAGATTTTATAGAGACATGAGTAAGTTTTTTAGGGGTGAAAGATAAGTTGACCCTCTTGATTGTAGTTATTGTTTCAGGGATGTGTTCATATTTCAAAGTTGTCAAATTATGAATAATAAAAGTACTGCATTGTATATCAATTTACTGTATCTCAAAAAGTTGTCAAAAATTTTAACACATATATAAGAATTTGTGAGTTACTTGCCAAGTGAAAATATAAATATTTCTAGATAATTTTCAAATTTAAATGTACATATTTTCGGTTCCTAAATAAACTCATTCAATGCCCATTTTACAAAAATATTTTCAAACAAAAACTCTTTTGAAATTAACAAGCAACTTGCGCATTTCTACTTAAGGAAGCAATTCATTGCAGTGTTTTTTTCTTTGTCTTAACTGATGATATATTCTAAAACCAGCATAGATAGACTAATTGTTTTTCCTACTGCCACATTTTCACTTCAAGTACCTTGAGAAATGATCCCACTTTATACTCTGCCTAATGCTGTAACATTATGTTTTTCTCCTTAAACTTGGTTGTGTCCTGTAATTCTATTTTTTACAACCTCTTCTGATTTTACACCCTGTTTGTTCACTTAAAAACTGACATATGAAACATTAGCTTTATCCATTACAGGAGTTCTAACATTCATGTTAACATAAAGTTAATACCTTAAAAATATTTGCTGATAGGCTGATTAAATTTACATGGATAGATAAACATATAGGTATCCTACTTGCACCTAGCATTTTATTAAAAAAACTAAATAATATGGTTCTTTCAATTATTTAACAACCATTATTTTTAGAGTTGCTACTATACTAGTCTTTAGAGTTTCAAAGATAAATTGAATGAATACCTTCTTTTGGGACTACTTGTTGCATGTTGCTGACAATTCAGAATCTAAACTTTACACCATATAATTTTAATTGCATAATTTTTGTGTATACATCATTATGTTTTATTGAGCAGATGTTTATCCATTATGTATAATCTCATAGTTATCAATAACAGTTATATTCTGACAAGGCAAAGAGTATTTTCCATACAATTAATGACTTTCTTGAGTAGGACTAATGAAAACTAACTGAACTAGTCAGTTTCTAAGATACAGAATATTTTAAAACTTGCTGTGTGACATAACAAGAAATATGCCTCCTTGAAAAATAAGAAAAAAATGAATCAGAACACTTAAATATGGGCACTGTTATTTTAACCATGCTAACTCATTTATTTTGATATATGATATGTGAAACAGTAATTTCAAATTACTGCACTGACTGTGTTCAACCAACATTTCTGGACAAAATTTCCATGCCTGCTAATGACACATTCTCAAGACAGTCATATTTCACTCTGGCTCTGGCCATAATTACAGCAAAATGGAAGTAAAAAATGGTTTGGGATCAACGGTGCAGTATTGTTTAGAAATGTTTAGCCTAGTTACCTGGAAGGCATCCAAGATTTGCCTACTAACAAAAGATTTCTGACACCAGAACTTCTAGATTGCCTGAAGCAGCCTCAGTATTTACTTTCACTCTATCATAACCCTGAAGGGCTATAATTGTTGCTGCAGTAAATTTAAGTGTGACAACTTTGCAGATTTTTTCTAACAGGAAATTATTTAACATATATACAATGTGCCACAGGATATGAACCCACAAAATTTTTATGAAGATTTAATTTGTCTAGGATCGCGATTGCGGTAAATTTAAGCAAAGGTAGAGCTGGAATCATATATGAATGATTGTGGTTGGGGGGTGGCACAGGGAGGCATTTCTTTAGTGAAAATATAAACATGTTATCATTATATCAGTGAAAATATCACTTGGAGTAAATATTGGTAAGCCATATTTATGATTTAATATTTTAGCACCTATTGATTATAAATTAGTGTTAGAGCACATTATGTCTTGTTATTTACCTGTGCCAAGTCACAGATAGATCCATAACTAGAAATAAATTTTGTTTGTATATGTCCAAGATGTTTTTCTGAAAGGTGATTTAAAAACCGACTGATAATGGTCTCAAGGTATGTTGACATTATATATGAAATGTATGTATGATATCTATGTTAGTCATTTATATGACTTAGTAATTTCTTTGATGAAAAATTTTGATTAATATATTTAAAAATAAACTGATTAGACACACAACAACAGCTGGGCAGGGGTCTCCTCTTCTCCAGTAACACAAGCCCAATAGCACAGCTACGGGGTTGCAAGGGCTGTATAGCCAAAAAGGGACTGGTCTGACTTGAGATTTCTTTATTTGTATTTTTTTTTGTTTTAAATTTCTAATGAATAGAAATCATCTACCTCTTCGTATGTGGAAATTATAAAATTGGCTCTCTGTAATCTAGATTCGCTAAAAATATATGTTACTAGTGTGTTGCTTAAGTATTTCTTTATTTGCTTTTTACCAATTAATTAAGTCTAAATAATATACCATTTGAAAAAATCATTGTACCTTCAAATTATCTTGACATTTAGTTTTTATTTGCGTACTTAAGGTAAGTTTATGCAATTGGCACCTACTTTTCTTTATGTTTAAAAGAGTAATGGGAGTCAACACTACATCAGCTAGGTGATCAAGGTCAACATCAATGGAGATAAATCAGATTTACAGTATATACCCTTAATATCATGTGATAAAAATGACACTTTACCTCTGTAGTCTTTCCCCTAAAACCACATAACCCCAGTTTAATCTTATGAGGAACATTGGACAAAAAACAATTAAGGGAAATTCTACAAAACAAATGACAAATACTCTGCAAAACTGTCAAGGCCATCAGAAACAAGGCCAGACTTAGAAACTATCATGGCAAAGAATATCTTAAGGAGACATGACAATTGAATATAATGTAGTGATCTGAATGGGATGCTGAGATAGAAAAATAACTTTTGTTAAAAACTGGGAAAATCTAAATAAATTAAGACTTGGATTAATAACAATGAGTTAATATTGGTTCATTAATTCTAACAAATGTCAATATTAATGTAAGATGTTAATAAATAGGGTGAACTGGGTGTGTGGTATATGGGAACTGTCTTGTAGCATCTTTGTAATATTTTTGTGAATCTAAAACTGTTCTGATATAAATGTTAACTTAAGAAACATTAACTGAGTGACAGAATAAAGATTGATTACTTTTATGGACTGTAAAGCACAATGACAGTAAACAAAGGACACATAAACATCACAAAAAAAGCATAAAATTTTTCAGATATTTTCATTAAAATTAACTTAGATTTCTCCTTATACTTCAAAGAAACTCATTTTTACTGAGGCTTGGTGAAATAAAGAAACATGAAGCTAATGCCTCTATAGCTATACTATAAAAATCTGACTATATTTTTATGTGACTTGAATTATTAACTATAAATATACTGTGACAATTTTATAGCAGTTCTAATATAGTAGCAGATTTTTAAAAAAAATCATATTTCCCTTTCATATCACAAATGTCACCAGTATATTACTAAACTCTCAATGTTCCTAATTGTATACTTCTATATAAGGGGGTAATATCTTTTTATAATTGCATTAGTGATTAGCTTTTGTCCTGAAACACAAGGAATTGTTCTGCCTTTGTAATTTCTTTGCTAGAGAATGTAATAGCAAGGGGTAGCTTAAAACAAATTCTACTTCTATTTTTCCATATTATATACCTAGTAAGCACTGTAGGTCAATACAAAAGAGAAAGAGAAGTAATCCCTTCTGGCAGGTCACTCTGTGGATATCAGTGTGGGTCATCTCTTGAAACTAAGATAAACCATAAGTTAGTTGTGATGTAAGCAGTGATAGGTATATCAAAAATTACAAAAACTACTTATAAGTTTTAATTAAAATGCTGTAAACAATTTTAGTTTTGAGGTGCAAAAAGAAATTTTCCTTAAATATTTGAATTCCAAAAATTCTATGCATATTTTGGCCTCCTCATGGGTGACAGGAAAGGAAAGAAAGGATACGTGCTTTTTTTTTGTAGAAAAATCCAGTGGAAAAACTAGTTTCATATAATATCTAGAGACTTTAATGTTGAAATGAATACAATGTTCTATGACAGATCTGTTTAATAGAACTTTATGTAATGATAGAAATTTTGTATATCTGCTTTGTCCAATATGGTAGCCATTTGCCACATGTGACTATCAGTTGCTTGAAATGTGGCTGGTGTGACTGAGGACTTAATTTCAACTTAATTAAATTTAGATTTAATTTAAACAGTCATATGTGGCTAGTGGCTACTATATTGGACCAAGGAATCGTGTGATAACATGCCACCGTTTTGTTTTTTCCTTCTCAGATACATTAAAAATAGTGCAAATTATTTGACATGGAGTATATGGTTAATATCGGCAGTTTAAAACAACTCTTTAGAAGGTACCCAGTGCAATACCTTGTGGTATGATATCCACTATTACACACTTAACAACTGAATAGTCTTTTCTTTCACTTCAGAAATTTTAATTTATCTTTTAACTTGTATTTTATTACTGAACATCAATACAATTGTAAATAGTAATAAAATATACATTTAATTGTCAGCATTTGTATTATGCTCAAACATATTTAACTGTTAACACATATATATATATTTTTATATATATATTTAAAATACTAATTTTTTTATTATACTATAAGTTCTGGGATACATGTGCAAAATGTGCAGGTTTATTACATAGGTATACATCTGCCATGGTGGTTTGCTGCACCCATAAACCCATCATCTACATCAGATATTTCTCCTAATGCTATCCCTCCCCTTGTCCCCCATCTGTCACTTTCAGGTACACCAATCAATCGTAGGTTTGGTCTTTCCACATAGTCCCATATTTCTTAGAGACTTTGTTCATTCCTTTTCATTCTTTTTTCTCTAATCTTGTCTTCATGCTTTATTTCATTAAGTTGATCTTCAATCTTTGACATCCCTTCTGCTTGATTGATTTGGCTATTGTTACTTGTGTATGCTTCACGAAGTTCTCATGCTGTGTTTTTCAGCTCCGTCTAGGTCATTTATGCTCTTTTCTAAACTGGTTGTTCTAGTTAGCAATTTGTCTAACCTTTTTTCAAGGTTCTTAGCTTCCTTGCATTGGGATAGAACATGCTCCTTTAGCTCAGAGGAGTTTGTTGTTACCTGCCTTCTGAAGCCTACTTGTGTCAATTCATTGAACTCATTATCCATCCAGTTTTATTCCCTTGCTGGCGAGGAGTTGTGCTCCTTTGGAGGAGAAGAGGCATTCTGGCTTTGGGAATTTTCAGCATTTTTGTGCTGCTTTTTTTTTTTTCATCTTCTTGGATTTATCTACCTTTGGTCTTTGATGCTGATGACCTTTGAATGGGGTTTTTGTGTGGGTGTCCTTTTTGTTGATGTTCATGTTATTGCTTTCTGTTTGTTAGTTTTCCTTCTAACAGTCAGAATCCTCTTCTGCAGGTCTGTTGGGGTTTACTGTAGGTCCACTCCAGATCCTCTTTGCCTAGGTATCACCAGCGGAGGCTGCAGAACAGCAAAGATTGCTGCCTGCTTCTTCCTCTGGAGGCTTCATCCAAGAGGGCCACCTGATGGATGCCAGCCAGAGCTCTCCTGTATGAAGTGTCTGTTGGCTCCTGCTGGGAGGTGTCTCTCAGTCAGGAGGCACAAGGGTCAGGAAACCACTTGAGGAGGTATTCTGTCCATTAGCAGAGCTCGAGCCCTATGCTGGGAGATCCACTGCTCTCTTCAGAGCCAGCAGGCAGGAAAGTTTAAGTCTGCTGAAGCTGTGCCCACAGCCACCCCTTCCCCCAGGTGCTCTGTCTCAGGGACATGGGAGTTTTATCTATAAGCCCCTGACTGGGGCTGCTGCCTTTCTTTCAGAGATGCCCTGCCCAGAGAGGAGGAATCTAGAGAGGCAGTCTGACTACAGCGGCTTTGCGGTCCAAACTTCCCTGCAGCTTTGTTTAAACTGTGAGGTGGGGGAAAACCACCTACTCAAGCCTCAGCAATGGCAGACGCTCCTCCTCCCACCAAATTCAAGCATCCCAGGTAGATTTCAGACTGCTGTGTTGGCAGTGAGAATTTCAAGCCAGTGGATCTTAGCTTGCTGGTCTCCATGGGGGTGGTACCCACTGAGCAAGACCACTTGGCTCCCTGGCTTTAGCCTTCTTTCCAGGGGAGTGAATGGTTCTTTTTCATGGGGGTTCCAGTCACCACCAGGGTACAAAAAAATACTCCTGCAGCTAGCTTGGTGTCTGCCCATATGGTCTCTCAGCTTTGTGCTTAAAACCCAGGGCCCTGATGTTGTATGTACACAAGGGACTCTCCTGGTCTATTGGTTGCAAAAACTGTGGGAAAAGCATAGTATCTGGGCCAGGTAGCACTGTCCCTCACAGCAAAGTCCCTCATGGCTTCCCTTGGCTAGACTGCTTGTGCTTCCTGGGTGAGGCAACACCCCACCCTGCTTCTGCTTGCCCTCCATGGGCTGCACCCACTGTCTAACCAGTCCCAGTGAGAAGAACTGAGTACCTCAGTTGGAAATGCAAAAATCACCCACCTTCTGTGTTAGTCTCACTGTGACCTGCAGACTGGAGCTGTTCCTATTAGGCCATCTTGCCAAGTTTCAAAATACTAATTTTTTTTGTGTTTGAACATTGAACTCTTTAATTTTTAATTGATTCATTATATTCTTTAGTAGGACACAATTGATTAAAAAATACATTTTTATAGTTACTAAATATATAAAGTAATACTGTGGCAGTATTATTCAAATATTCTCTCTATGGGTTCTTTGTGAGTACTGGCACAGTAAATATTACCTAAATGAAAATAATAATAAGCAGTCACTGGAAAACTCAATAGTTTTTTTCACGATTTTGAAGCTAGAGTGATGAAAGCCAACTGATTTTTGAAAGTTATTCTTTCTCAGTAGATAGTTTTAGTGAAATTTTAATTAAAGTTTTATAATTGCCTTTAATATCCCTCTGTGTTTTTTTTTTCTTTTTTCTTTTTTGAGACAGGGTCTCACTATATATCCAGGCTGGGGTGCAGCAATGCAATCACAGCTCACTGTGCCTTGACTTCTTGGGCTCAAGTGTTCATCCCACCTCAAACCATTGAGTAGCTGGGACACAGGCATGCACCACTACACCCAGCTAATTTTTGTATTTTTTTTTTGTAGAGGTGAGGTTTCGCCATGTTGCCCAGGCTGGTCTCCAATTCCTGGGTTCCAGCAATCTGCCTGCCTTGGCCTCCCAATTTTGGTTTACAGTCATGAGCCCCTGCCTGGCCTGCCTTTAACTTTTTATAGAGAGTCTTCTCATAATATATCACTTTATCTTTTACTTTTTATAGAGAGGCATCTAAAAGGATTGAAATATTTAGATATCATTAATTTCAAATATATTTTAGTAACTTTTTAAAATAAAATGATTTGATCTTATATGTTATAAATACATTTTTATCAAAACTGTGTAGTAGCATAATTTGTTCATTCAATAGACAGAAATATCCAACACACAATCAAATTGAGAAAGCCAAACTCATTGTCTACTGAGATTGTTAAATCAGATCAACCCTCTGTAAGAAAAATTCTGACTTAAAAAAAATTTGAATAAAGGTTTGATGTCAACTCCCTAGGTTACACATTTTTCTTCTTAATTTTAACTTATGGAACAGCTAGAAAAGGCACAGATGTTTGCCATGATTAAGTCACATGGACCAAACAAGATATCATTCTCTTTATGATTTTATATAGGTTTTTTAATGATTTCTGTAGGACTCACTCTCTTAAAAATGCATTTTTTTGTTACTGAAACACCAGGGGTTTGGTCTAGGTCCTGCAACTCACTGCACAGAAAGCCAATCACTGAGATGACAAGTATTGCCAAGGAAGAAGGTTTTAATCCGGTGCTGCAGCCGAGGATATGCGAGCTCAGTCTCAAATCCATCTCCCTGATGGATTGCAACCAGGGGTTTATATAGCAGGGAAGAAATGTAACAATGTGTAAGAAAACAGGAACTAAGGAGGGGCACAGAAGCAATCATGATGAATGAGGGGTCAGGCATCTCATTGTCAGGATGTGGTGATCTGGTGAGTTTTAGCTCTTTGATACTTTTATTTAGAGGCCTGAAGGTCCTTTCCTGCCGAAGGAACTCACATAAAACATACACAAGTTTCAAGCTTTAATAGCAGAATGGTTAATGTCTACGTTGATCCAAAAAACAACTCCCTACAGGACAATTGGGCCTGTTTCACTTTGACAACAGTAAGGAGATGGCCATGACAAGATCATTAAAAGATAATCTTCAGAATTTCTGCTCCATTCAACAAGATGAATGCAGAATATCTCAGCATTGGTCGGTTAATGTGCTTCTTTCACCTAACTAAACAAAAATTTGTATCATATGGGGAAGACAAATATTCTTCCAATGGGTAATTTATACCTTGAATAAGGAGTGTACCCTGACGCTAATATTATATCTTTTTTTGACCCCTCTGTAGGATAACCCACCAAGGTGAATTACATCTTATTGTTTTTAAGTGGAAATAAAAGGGAAAAGACAAGTGCAAAAGGAAACAGCCATAACATTTCCATGACATTCATGTTTTTCACCAGGCCAGTTTTAGGAAAGAGTGCATATTGAAGTGAAGGTTCTGGAAAGTGATGCCCTAGAGATTACGTATGTTCAGATAGCCTTTAAAACAAACTTAGTGAATCTCCAGTACTATTCTTAGAAGTAGGAAACACTCTGGCCTTTGATGCTGAGACATAAGAAAGTAGGTTGTTGCTCAAACTATCTTGTCTATTTTACCCACATTTTCAGAAAAGCACATAGGAAAAACTAAAAACTAAAAAAACAACAAAATTATTTCTTCCCAAGGGAGGTTTAAATACTTAGAAAATTCAAGTTAACTTACAAAACATATGAATACTTTTAATGATGGGGCTGTGGTTGCTGTAAACTAAAGAAGTTAAAAGTCATTGCTACTCCCTGTGACAAAAGGACGTCAAAGCATAATTAAAATCTATTCCTAAATTTTGAATGTAAATCAAAATTTAGCATATGTCTCATTTTATTTAAGTATAACATTTCACAGAAATAATATGTTTAGATATTTTTTCTTTTCTTTCAGTTGCAACACTTTCAAAAGTAGGAAAATAACTTATGTTTGTTAAATACATATCTAAAGAAAGCATGCTATAAAAATGTGTTTCCCTCATAATAAACTTTTAAGTATTTGCATCACTAACTTACAGTTGAGGTAAAATAAAAATGTTAACAAATGTCTTACTATTCATTCATTGAATATTAACAATCTTTTGATTTGAAACTAAAATGCACTTGTTTATTTATTTGTCAATATTTCTGGAAAGCATTTCTGCTTTTCTATATCTCTACTGCTTCAGCATGTAGAAAATTTCTCCTGATTCTTTTTATTTTAGAGTGCAATAGATTATTTTTATTTTCACTTAAGAAAAAGATGAAAATTGCAAGCTATCACCAAACTTTCATCTAAATCTTGGACCTATTTCATCATTGCTACATTGCAAACTTGGCAAAAAGTTGTTCCTTTTTTTTTCCGTTGATTTAAAAAGTGATGAAGTTTAAGAACTACTAGTGTAAACAGTTGAGTCTCACTACACAAAGTCTTGTATTTGTATTCAATTGCTTTTTTTTGCTTCTCCCATCATACAGTTTCTTTATATTTAACACAAACATAGGTGATAATTTGAAGACATGAAAGGCACTTTCTATTGAAGAATTTGGCCAAAGTGTCTGTTGGTATAAAACATAATGGATCTTTATAAGGAATTATCTTGATGTCAGCATGCAGCTATTGGCACTTGATTACATTTTAGCACAAAGACTAATGAGGAAATAGTGACTGCTGTGGGTTGTGTTAGAAATTTTATTTTATGCCTCTATTATTAGGTTATCTAGATATTAATCCTCTAGTTTTTATAAGAATTCCTCTGAAGCTTAAAAGTAGCTACCTTCTCATATAACAATGTTCTCTGTTAAAATGTGAATTCATTTTGAAAACACTTGAGCTGTCTATTATTCAGGGTTCTTCAGAGAAACAGAATCAGTAGAATGTGTATGTGTGTGGAGTGTGTGGAGCAGGATATTTTAAGGAATTGATTCAGTTGATTGAGGCAATTGCAGGGCTGACAAGTCTAAACTCTGCAGAGAAAGCCAACAGACTGGAGACACAAGGAAGAAAGAATTGACACAACTCAAGTCTGAAGGAGAAGTGCTGGCAACATTCCCTCTTCATCTGGGGAGGCCAGTCTTTTCTTTAAGGCCTTCAACTGATTGCATGAGGCCCACCTGCATTATGAATGGCAATCTACTTTACTCAAAGTCTACTGATCTAAATGTTGATTCCATTCAAAAATATTTTACAGAATGTATTACCTATTTTGCCGCAGACAGGAGGGGCAGCCCACACACCAGCAGCCAGAAGGGGTAGAAGAGGGCATGGATATGAATGTTACAGGTGATGAACAGGAAAATGCAGTGGCCATACATGTCATAGCCCTGGGAAGAAGGAAAATCACTCAGGATGGGCTGGCCTCTGGCCCCTCATGGGGAACCTAGGAAATAGATGGTCCATTGGCCTGCTCCTCTCATTCCAGGTTCTGGGGCCTCAGGATAGATGCACACCAAGGCCTGGCTCCTCTTTTAAGACAACCCCACCACCATGCCTGGCTCCATATCAGCAGTGCTGACATTTGGAGCGTGATGATCTGGGCTTCACACAAGTAGGCGAGAAAGTAAATGAAGGATGAGACATCCAGCCAGTGGCCGAAGCAGGTGCCAGTGGAATCAGAGTGCCCACCTGCTGCGGAGTAAAAGTTCTATTTAGTACTGGGGGGACCCTGCTATTACCCTTAGCCAGCATCAGGGGCTGCTCCTACATCATTCCATCATTGTCTCCTTGGGCAAATTTCAACCTAGTTCAACCATCCATCAAAATCCTCTGCTGTACTTACAATAGTGGTGCCAAATGTCTTTATCCTATGCAGGAGGATAGCAACCAGGATGAAGACCAGCATGAGAAGTCCGTTGAGTTCACGTGAATTTTCTGCCAAAATACCAATTCATTCAGGCTGGAGGATAAAATGGGTCTTCTACCTGTGCCTTCTCAGGCTTTGCCTGGTGGCCCACCTTCTGCCAGACATGATATTCCCTGATAACCTGGAGGAAGTTGACTATCTTGTTGGGATCATGGACTGCAGCAGCCCGGGAGAGGAAAGGAGAGATAAGAGCAAGGCAGCACTGGGCTATGAGGTTCTGGAGAGCAAGGCCTGACTCCTACTCATCACTCTAACTTCAGGGAATGAGGCCTCCCACAATGTATGCTGGCTGACAGCGGGAGGAAAGGGTAGTAAAGACATAGGGAATGGGGAAATTATTTCCTTGCCGCTAAAATACCTGCAGGAAGGACAACCCTCTGAAACAGCTAACTGAAGTAGCAGCTATACAGAAGACTTAGAGCCCAACTGGGCCTTGGGAAAGGGCCTGACCATTTACCTATTTGACCCATTTCCCTTTAAAAGGCTGGTAAACCTCAGCAGAGTGCTCAGAATTCAGGGCTGTGATGGTGAGGCCCTGGAAAATGTTGAGAAGAAAAAGTGTTAATGAGGGAACCAGTATGCCTCCTGCCTCTTTCTGCTTAACTCTTCTTCCTGGCACCACTGAGCATTTTCTTGAGAAATATATTTAAAGTGTTATGACAATTTCACACACACAAAAATAAAAGTACAAGTCACTTCCCCATGCTTTTCTTAAGTGGCTAGCTCCTAATAATAGCTTGGAATTTAGCTAGATTTTGCTTCCTTTGGGAGACCTGCCCTGTCCCACCCACCAACCTACTCAGGCTCGGGTGTGTCTCCTGCATGCCATGATAGCACATGGGTACTGTATTGTGACTGCACTCCAGGGCAAGACTCCTATCCATCCTCACCACAGAATTAGACACAGAAAGTATAGGGCCTGGCATGGAGCAAATGCTTAATGAATACTTTCTTAACAGTCCTAGGTATTTGATAGGCACTGATTACATTAAAGGATGAAAGAAAAAAAATATTTCACAGAAACATCTCGAATTATATTAGACCAAATATCTGAGTACCATGGCCTAGTCAAGTTGACACATAAAATTGACCATCGTAGGATTCATCCTTTATTTTCTCTTTCCTAATTGAATCTGAATATGTAGTCTAAGTATATAGAAAACACAATAGATGTACTGTCAGGGACACATCCAAAATTCCAGAAACACGCATACACACACACGCACTGACACACATGTTCAAAGTATTTCACAGAGGTGCTGGGTGTTTAATAGTTTATATGGATCTTAATAATGAGGGTAGCAATTAAAATAACTTTTATATCATATCATATCATATCTTACTGGTCACTCCATTAATCATGCAGGGAAAACAGTGACTCCTGAACTACATGAATAAACTTCAGCAACTCAGAAGAAACAGAGGAAGAAATACCTTCATTAGTATTATAACTTCCATATGATGAAGACCCCTGCAACTTTGACAAAAAGAATGCTTCCAGGCTCTGATGTAAGAAGTGAAAAACTGCCATGAACTTTGGATTAGGGGCATTTGTATTTGTGCAGAATAATTGATTTTAGTTGCCCTCTATTGCTTACTTCTTGGCTTACTAATACAGAGTTGGTAGTTTCTGCATCTTTAAAGCTGCCCTAGGTAAAAGTTATTTCACTAAGATCTGATTATATTTGTATTTCATAGTGTTTTTCCGCATAGCAATCTATTCATCATTTATACAAGGAGAGCTGATGGCATCACTTCCCACTTCTGTTATGTTTGTCAGGATGAACTATGTTGCACACCTTTCTATCAGAAGGCATCTTTGAAGGAAAAATAGAACTCTGAGAACCAGTGAATAACAGGAGCATCTCCAGCACCAGAGAAACAAAGGAGAACATAATATAATAATGTGTTCCATCAGTACAATCCTGCCTATTTATATTTATCACCATCTGACATGGTTTGGCTGTGTCTCCACCCAAATCCTCATCTTGAATTCTCACGTGTTGTGGGAGGGACACAGTGGGAGGTGATTGATTCTTGGGTGCAAGTCTTTCCCATGCTGCTCTCGTGATAGTGAATGAGTCTCACAAGATCTGATGGTTTTAAAAAGGGGCATTCCCCTGCACAATCTCTCTCTCTCTTTGCCTGCCGCCATCCATATAAGATGTGATTTGTTCTTTCTTGCCTTCTGCCATGATTGTGAGGCTTCTCCAGGAATGTGGAACTGTAAGTCCAATTAAACCTCTTTCTTTTGTAAATTGCCCAGTCTCAGGTATATCTTTATCAGCAGCGTGGAAACAGACGAATACAGTAAATTGGTACCAGTAGAGTGGGGCACTGCTGAAAAGATACCAAAAAAATGTGGAAGCGACTTTGAAACTGGCTAACAGGCAGAGGTTGGAACAGTTTGCAGGACTCAGAAGACAGGAAACTGTGGAAAAGTTTGGAACTCCATAGAGACTTGTTGAATGGCTTTGACCAAAAGCCTGATAGCAACATGGACAATAAGGTCCAGGCTGAGGTGGTCTCAGATGGAAATGAGAAACTTGTTTGGAACGGGAGCAAAGGTGACTGTTGTTATATTTTAGCAAAGAGACTGGTGGCATTTTGCCCCACCCTAGTGATTTGTGAGAGAGATGATTTAGGGCATCTGACCGAAGAAATTTCTAGCAGCAAAGCATTCAAGAATTGACTTGGGTGCTGTTAAAGGCATTCAGTTTAATAAGGGAAGCAGAGCATAAAAATTCACAAAATTTGCAGCCCGACAATGTGATAGAAAAAAAAATTCCCATTTTCTGAGAGAAGTTCGAGGTGGCTGCAGAAATTTGCATAAGTAACAAGGAGCTGACTGTTAATCATTCAGCATGTCATCCAGGGCATGTCAGAGATCTTCATGGCAGCCCCTCCCATCACAGGCCTGGAGTCCTAAAAGGAAAATGTGGTTTCCTGGGCTGGGCCCAGGGTCCCCATGCTATGTGCAGACTATGGACTTGGTGCCCTGCATCCCAGCCACTCCAGTCATGACTAAAAAGGGCCAAGGTACAGCTAGGGCTGTTGCTTCAGAGGGTGGAAGATCCAAGCTCTGGCAGCTTCCACGTGGTGTTGAGCCTGTGGGTGCACAGAATTCAAGAATTGAGGTTTGGGAACTTCTGCCTAGATTTCAGAAGATGTATAGAAATGCCCGGATGCCCAAGCAGAAGTTTGCTGCAGGAGCGAGGCCCTCATGGAGAACTTCTGCTAGGGCAGTGCAGAAGGGAAACGTGGGATTGGAACCCCCACAGAGTCCCTACTTGGGCACCACCAAGTGGAGCTGTGAGAGGAGGGACACAGCCATCCTCCAGACCCCAGAATGGTAGATCTACCAACATCTTGTACCATGCTCCTGGAAAAGCCTCAGACACTCAATGCCACCCCATGAAAGCAACTGAGTGAGAGGCTATACCCAGCAAAGGCATAGGGGAAGAGCTGCCCAAGACCATGGGAACCCACCTCTTGCATCAGCATGACCTGGATGTGAGACATGGAGTCAAGGAGATCATTTTGGAACTTTTAAGATTTGACTGCCCTGCTGGATTTCGGACTTTCATGGGTACTGTAGCCCCTTTGTTTTGGCCAGTCTCTCCAATTTGGAATGGCTGTATCTACCCAATGTCTTTACTCCCATTGTGTCTAGGAAGTAACTAACTTGTTTTGACTTTACAGTTTCATAGGCAGAAGGAACTTGCGTTGTCTCAGATGGGACTTTGGACCCGGACTTTTGCATTAATGCTGAAATGAGTTAAGACTTTGGGAGACTGTTGGGATGGCATGATTGGCTTTGAAATGTGAGGACAAGAGAGGGGCCAGGGTGGAACGATATGGTTTGGCTGTGCCCCCACCCAAATCTCCATCTTGAATTCCCATGCACTGTGGGAGGGACCAAGTTGGGGAGGTGATTGAACTATGGGGGTGGGATTTTCCTATGCTGTTCTCATGATAGTGAATGAGTCTCATGAGCTCTGATGGTTTCATAAAGAGGAATTCCCCTGCACAAACTCTCTTTCTTTGCCTGCCACCATCCACGTAAGATGTGACTTGCTCCTCCTTGCCTTCTGCCGTGATCCTGAGGCTTCCCCAGTCACATGGACTGTAAATCCAATTAAACCTCTTTCTTGTGTAAATTGTCCAGTGTCTGCTGTCTTTATCAGCAGCGTAAAAACAGATTAATACACCATTCTTGCCTCAACTTATTTTTTGTCTAACTACTTTTTTTTTTTACAAAATTATTAAAGGCAGACTCCACAAGATCCAGAATTTTCACAACTTTATAATCAACTATTTCCATCTTAATAGGGAATAAAAAATCCCATAATTTATAGGTGCATCTACAGGATTGATACAGAATTAATACATTTCATGTCAATAATAGACACAACTAATCATAAAGTTAAGGCAGCACAAATTCTATTTTTAATATTTTTTGTGCTATGTGATTGGTCATGTTGTTGCACTGTGCTAAAGGCTTTACCTGTGACTTCCTTCACTCAGAAGGTGGAAATGTATCTGTATTCAATTATGGGTGGTTATTCCTGCCTGTATTTTGGTGATACAATAAACAGTAGCCATCAGCTTATACTCAAAGTTAATTTTCTTTGAAAATACTTATTTTTATGAATATTTGCTGTATTTCTAGGATAAGAGGAGGCTAAGTTTGGAAATCACTTTACTTTTCCCCTACCAATACTCAAACTCATACTTAAACTCTTTCTCTAAGCCTCTACAGGTCTGTCTAACTGAACTATCATCAAACTCTTCCTCTAAGCCTCTTCGAGTCTATCTTTACCTACCATCAATCTCAAATGTCAGCATCAGAAAATGTCACTGTCTTTTTTTTTGCTGTGTTTATTAGGGGTTCACAGTCTCCTGATGGAGATGAGTTGATTCCAGTTATTAAATATTTTATGTTTAATATATATGACTAATTCATGCTGATCTTTGTTGTTTTTTTATCTGTTGACTGTTTTTTTAATTTATTTTTCCCTTCAAGTTAATATTCATCTTTCCTCCTCTCATTATTTTCTCTTGTTTTGCTTATTTCCAATTTGTCTCCTCATTTTATTTTGAGACACAATCAGACTTTGAAATTTTTCATTTCAAGTCTTCTCATTTTCTTGCTTTTATTTCACACATTAGGAAAGTCTATTAATTTTCCCTTTGAAACCCTTTTATTGTAGTGGCAAAGGACCACATAGCTAGCAGTGCTACCAGGAATCCTGTGAGAAAGCAAAACAACTTAAAATTTTCAATTGACTGCATGAGGAAAGGAAACAGTAGGTTTCTTCAAATCAAAGGGATTCTGTTTGCAGTTGAATACATGAAGTCATTTTTTACGTTTTGCGAGGATAAAATATAGTATTAGCTGTCTGAGGTTTAAGATTATAATAGCTGAAAACAGGAAAAGGGAAGATAGAGGATGTCTTGAGAGGGGAGGTGAAATAGAAATTTCAATATTTAAAGGCTCCTTATAAAATAAAACTAAAAGTTTGAAAAATGCTTATTCAAACACACATTCTTTAAAAAGGTAGGACATAAAACGTAAATAGCCAGCAGTACTGAATTTTTCCCTTCTCACCTTCCCAGTTTACCTTTATATAACTATGATGTCCTAGAGCAAATTACTAACATAATATTTTTATCTTTTCTGTACCATTCACTATAGGGATGGCAAATAAATCTTATTTCACATGTGCACTCAAGAAATGAATAGTGACTGCCTGGTGAAATCCACTCAGCAGCCCTGGAAGCTATGTCTGGGTTCAGGGACAGAACAATAATTTGTATTATGAATTACTGAGGGAAAAAGGGGACACACCACTTACATTTATACCTTAGAAAATACTTAGTTTAAGGAGAGCATTTTGGTCCACAATTTCATCTGTGATTCATAACAATATTTAGGAAATTGCTTTAGGTTATTTTATATTATAAATGACTGAAAAATGACAATGTTTAAAGAAAAGTGACAAGAAAATGTAAATAATACATTATATACAATTATTTTATACATAATATGAAGGACAAGAAAATGTATTTTTTATAATAGACCAAAATATACTTTGTAAGCTTAACATTATTCTTATGAAAAGTTAGGACTTAGCTGACTGACAAGAAATCCTCTCAAGTGTGTGTAACTAAAAATTAACATAGCATTTATTAAATAATCTTCTGTTGTTAAACTTCTAATTTCAAAACATCCTATATATGTGTACAATATATAGTTATCTGGAAATATTTTAGACAATTTCATTAACAATTTAATTGCCTGAGTTTTCCTCTTTCTTTTTTTCTTTCTCTTTCTTTCTTTCTTTCTTTCTTTCTTTCTTTCTTTCTTTCTTTCTTTCTTCTTCTTTCTTTCTTCTTTCTTTCTTTCTTTCTTTCTTTCTTTCTTTTCTTCTCTCTCTCTCTTTCTTTTTTTTTTTTTTTTTTTTTTTTTTTGTATTTTAGGAGAGATGGGGTTTCACCATGTTGGCCAGGATGGTGTCTACTTCCTGACCTCGCGATCCGCCTGCTTCGGCCTCCCAAAGTGCTGGGATTACAGGCATGAGCCACCGCGCCCAGCCAAATTGCCTGAGTTTCATATTTTTATACAAAAAGAAAGTTTCTTGCAGAAAAGATAATGTTAACTAATTTGGTAAGAATTTACTATGAGTGTCTACAATCTAAAATTCAGCTGTGGAGCAAGTTTGAGATTTTCATATTTCTGATGTACAACAAATTGCGCTGCATATGCTTTTCAATGTACTCATTTATAAAATAGCTGATTTGATACTCATATCCAATGGAAGCAGGCCAGTGTTTCAATATAGGACACAATTCAATTCTAATCATAGCTCACTGAGATTTTTATATTGAAAAGTTGCTGTTGTCCTTTAGCAAACCACTGAAGTGAATTTAGTGGCTGGGAAAACTGCCAGACAAGCAGAGATCCAAACCAAACTCCTTTAAACCATAGAATTACAACATCAAAGTAAGCATAATTATCACTCTTCATATCCTGCTCTGCTGGCCACTTCAACTTGGCCTTGACAGAGACTCTTAAGTTTTTAAAGTGAAAAACTTTAAAAAGTATACATTCAGTACAATGTCTACAAATTAAATATCTTACTCCATATTACTAGGTTGGTGCAAAAGTAATTGCGGTTATTGAAAGTAATGGCAAAAACCGCAATTACTTTTGCACCAACTTAATACCTTTTTGTAACATAAAAATAATACTTCTTAAATTTTCAACATATATGTACATTTATCATAAGCATACATGTATAAATTTAAAAGCAGCAATCTACTTACTGGTGAAAACCTAAAGGCATTAGAATTAAAATTAGAAAAATAAAAAGAAGGCCCAGTTTCACCAGTAATTTTAACACAAATATGAACATAGAGATACAGTAAAGAAAACATAATATTGCGCATAATACATTGGAAAAGAAAATAGGAGTTATTTTGTCAACCTTAAAATAATATATTTAATTAGAGGAAAACTATGAAAATTCATTAGTAATTAGTAAGTTTTTAGGTCTTATTATAGATAGACAAAAATCAATAATTTTCATATAAATACAAAACATTTCCAAATAATTTTTAAAATTGAGCCAATTATAATAATGCATTTGTCTCTTCCACTTTCTTTCTCTATATCTATGTATATAATTTTCCAAAAGTATAAAATGCAGAGTCTACGCAAAGACACATAAAAACTGTTAAAATACATTAATAAAGACTTTGAATAAAGCAACAAGTGATAATTAGACTATTTGATTTTATAAAGATGTGAATTACTTTTATAATAACAATCATGTAGTATGTAACCCAAATCAATCATATTTCTATACATTTTGGGGAGCTTTATATATGTGTATATTATAATTCAAAAATTTAATTTGTATAAAAGATACATAAAAATAATTGATAATGTAACATATATGTAGCAGAATATCTAAATGTTATGTCTAAAAAAGTAATACTTGTTTTATATAAGTGGCACAATTTACATAATTTTAATTTGAGTTAATTTATTTTATTTTTAAAGTTTTAACAGAATATTTAAGAAAGTATTAAATTAAAAAAATTATAAAAATTGACAAAATGTTTACAAAAAAAATTTTTTTTGAGACAGGGTCTCTCTGTTGCCCAAGCTGGAGTGCAGTGGCATGATCATGGATCACTGCACCCTTGACCAACCAGACTCAAGAAATCGTCTCACCTAAGCCTCCTGAGTAGCTGGGACTACAGGGGCACGCCACCACCCCTGGCTAATTTTTTATATTTTGTAGAGACTGTGTCTTGCCACATTGCTCAGACTGGTCTCAAACTCCTGGACTCAAGCAATCCTCTCACCTCAGCCTCCCAAAGTGCTGCAATTAAAGGTGTAAACCACTGTACCTGGCTACTCTCAAAATTTCTGACATACAAAAATTAAACATAATTTTAGATTGTTTCTGTGCTTATATTTATGAAGTCAACACAAATAAGAACAGCCTTTTAAATTATTAGAAAATTTGGATGTGTTGAATTAGAGAACTAAATTTTAAAAAAGTTCTATTTAGCAATAAAAAGTAAATAAATTATTAAAACAATTATATGATATTTTGCCAATAAAATTGGCAAATTTCACAAGTATGAAATACCCTCCCCCTCATTTTTGAAGTAAACTGAAAAATTACAACCCATATTGACCTGTAAATTGCACAAAGGGAAATGCAATTTTTTTCAATTACTCCCAGTGTATATCAGATATACTCATTCTCACTCTTGTGTATTTTTCAACTAGCAGATTTTGTACTTTTGATTGGGACAGGAGGCAGGGAAATTCTGGGCAGAAGAGGATGGGTCACCAGCAAGGGCCCCACCCTCAAGCATGGGACCACAGCCCAAAGTGAATATGTGCATTGCTGTTTTCCCACTCTAATGTTGCCTTTGCCAAAACCACCCTGGCCCTCACTGCCCCTCATCCTGTGCCCGTAAAAACCCCAGGCTCTGCTGGCAGAGAGCAGAGAAGAGGAGTAGCAATGGAATGTTGGAGGCTATGGTTTGACATCAAAGAAAAGCAGCTTTACTTCTGGGAGATGGCTTCATGGCATTGCTCTTGGGGAAGATCACCTTCCCATTCCATTCCCTTTCCAGTCCTCCTTCCCACTGAGAGCCACTTTCATTGGCAATAAAATCTTCTTAATTTACCACCCTTCAATTTATTTGTGCAACCTGATTTTTCCTGGATGCTGAACAAGAGCTCGGGTGCCATGAGTGTGGATGCTAAAGGTTGTCACACCAATCCTATCCCCTCTCTGGTGGAGAGCAACACCTCATGTTAAAAGGCATAGGACCCACTGAGCTGTTTAACACGTAAGCCGTCCACAGGCAGCAAAGCTAAAAGAGCACTGTAACACACACCCTCCTTGGCTTCAGGGGTTGTGGGTACTCCTGCTAGATGCTGCTACGGGGCCACATGGAGTTTTGCTTTGGCTGGCACCCAAAAGCACTCACTTAGACCCCTGCACCCACTCACCTGCATGCTCCTCCTGCAAGGGGTTAAGTGCAACAGGGCCCAGTGAGTGGAGTTAGCCCCTGCTGGCACCAAAGCAGCTGACTGGCTCCAGCACTGGCACTCCAGTTCCCGCCTGCAAAGAGGTCAGGGAAATTTCCTGCTTCATCTGGAGGCTTATTTGGGATCTACCAGAAGGGGGAGTAAACGCAAATCTGTCGGATCTGTCTCGTTGTCCTCAGACTTTCCTCTGAGCTATGCCACTTGCAGGAAACAGGATGCAACCTTGCCATCTCTCTTTCTTTTGGGTGAAAGGAATGTTTGGTCTCTTTCCCATCAAGAGATCTTGATGTTGCAGGGGACCGGAATAGAGTCCTGAGGCAAATGAAGGCATCTGGCCGAGGTCGCTGCCGGGTGTTGCTGGCCTCAAGCTGGAAGGTGTTGCTGGGAGGCCTCAAGACTGAACCCAGTCTCTGACCACCTGTCAAGGTGTTGGCCAAGAACCCCAGACTTTTCTATGACATTTTTTGTCTCCTTTCATCATTTAAAATGGCTCCTATCTCTTTTTTTATAATATTAAGAATTTTGTGGCAAACTGCAGAACTGTTACTAAGTAAAATGAGCATTTGGCCCAGCAATCAGATATCCATTTCAGAACAATGTAATTTTCGTTTGTTCCTAGAGGTGCCATCTCCACCCCCACCCTGACAGCTGCAGACACCTGCAACGCACCGTGGCTCCCCTCGTCACCCTTTCCCCTCCCAGCTGGAACACTCGGGCATGTCTGCAGGATGCACATGCCGCTCCCAATGGCCACTTGGAGTGCGGGAGAGAACTGTGACTGCCGCCAGAGCCCCAGTGCCATCTTGGGGAACAAAGACCCCATGTGGGTGTCTGGCCAACATTTCCTGCTTTCTGGCCCCTCCCACCATGTGCCCATAGAGTCTTTCCTCCCCTGGCCAAGGAGACCAGCTTGGTTTGAAATGGAGGAGGAATACATTGATTGAAGAAACCCATTTGAAAAGAGCAAGAGGCTCCCCCACCCCTTTAAGCTGCTTTTCTTTCTTTTTTCCTTTTCTATGTGAGAGAGTTCTTTTCCTACCTCAGAATTCTGCTTATGATAGGGAGGCAACAGAGGAGTGATCTCCACCAGCTTATAACTGCAAAATTGGCAAGGCCTTTCTGGGACTTAATCTAAATAAACCCATGCACCCCCTGAAACACCTTTTTGTCCTCAACTCAATTCTAAACTTCAGGTTAAAGCCCTAGAAAGGGAAACCAGATATAAGGGACCCGAAGTGAGGCAACAGGCACAGTATAAACAGGCAGGCAGAAGCAATTTCCAGTTTCTGCTGATTAAGCTTCTGCTTCATGGAAGGAGGTCATGCTTCATGGAATAGATAAGACCCAGGGAAGCAAAAGGTTGCTGACAGTAGTGGGGATGGAGGTGTAGGTGAGTGTGGAGAATCCCTATTCTCTAGGCCTTCCCTGCTTCACGAGTGCAGGCTGTAATGGCACACATGTGTGGCATCTGTCTAAGGCCACTGGGTCTTGGGGATAAAAAGACAAAGAGAAAAGAGGGATACCCGTTTTTTCTCTCTCACACACCCCAAGATTTTGCTGAAAGAAGGAAGTGAAATGAGAAATGCCTATTTCCCTTTTTTTCAGAAGAACCATCTATCTTTTCACTACCTCCAATCTATGCTACTCTGGAGTATATCCTAAGTCACTGGAACTACTTTGACCCTCTGACTCTGGAGAAAAAACCCCTCATAGCCCTCTGCAAAAAGGGTTGGCCAGATTATAATCTGCAGGAGAACTAGCTTCACCTCAGGAAAGAAGCATTCATTTCATTTCAATACCATCCTGCAGTTGAACCGTTTCTGTAAATGTGAGGGCGAATGGTCTAAAGCCCCATATGTGCAGGCTTTCTTTATCTTTCAGGGTAATCCAGACCTTTGCTGACAGTGCAGGATTGATCCAGCACTACTATTCGCCATCTCAAAAGAGGCTGCAAGGGGCTATCCCAGGGAACTAAAGAAATAAACCCCAGAGGCATCTCCAGCAGGGGAGCCATCTCCCTCCAGCCCTGCTTCTCTGGGTCTACCCCATCCTCCCTATGCAGCTACTCTCTCTCAGTTGCCTCCTCTTAGAAACCCTCACCCTAGACAAGCCCCAGTCTCACTCTTGCCCTCCAACAGATGCCCAGTGAATCTGGCCCCAGTAAAGCCCAGGTCTCTTCTCTCTACAGAACCTAAGGCAAATTTAGGGGGATCTTGGCCAGTTTTCAGATAGCCCTGACAGATATACAGAGGCTTTCCAGAATTTCACCCAAGTATTTGAAGTTTCCTGGCAAGATGTTATTTCACTTTTGAACCAAACCCTAACTAACATTGGGAAGCAGGTTGCTCTGCAAGTGGCAGAGGGATTTGAAGATGAGCTTTGTATTACATATAGTGTTAAAAAATGGGGTCAAACCTCTGCCTTCCTGGAAAGGTTAAGAGAGGCCTTGGTAAAGCACACCTCTCTATATCCTGATTCAGTCAAGAGATAGCTAACCCTAAAGGATAAATGTATTACTCAGGCAGCCCCTAACATCAGGAGGAAGCTGCAGGAACAGGCTCTGGAACCAAGCATTACTTTAGAGAACCTCCTAAAAGTGGCCACCTCGGTCTTTTATAATAGAAATAGGGAGGCCCAGGAGAAAGAGGGGGAAAACAGGAAAGAGGCAGAGGCTGTGATGGCCACCACGCAAGCCCACAAACCTAACAATCCCTGAGGTGCACCTGTTAACTGCTACAGATGTGGTAAGCCAGGACATTTTAGCATTTTAGGAAGGATTGCCCAGGCAGAATGAGGAAGCCACCTCAACCCTGTTCAATCTGTAATGGACACCACTGGAAGGTGAACTGTTCCTGTGAATGCTGGTCACTGGGTCTGGAATCAGTCTCCCAAATGGACCAGCAGGACTAATGGGTCCTGGGGCTCCTCTCCCCAGCTCCAGTGGTCCAGAGCACCATTACTATCCAGGAGCCCTGGGTAATCCTCGAAATCATAAGGAGAAAAGTAGACCTCCTTTTTGATGCTATGGCTGGTCTCTTGGTTCTCTTCTCCAACTTGGGCTCTTTTTCCTCTCTTAGAATGACCCTGGGGGCATCTCAGGAAGGCCCTTAACTGATACTTTCCCCAACCCCTTAGTTTTAGTTGAGGAGACTTCTTGTTCACCCATGCCTTTCTAATTACGCCTAAAAGTCCAATTTCTCTGTTGGGCAGGAATATTCTGGCCCATAGGGGAACCACCATTCTGATGGCACTAGGACAAACTTTTTTGTCTCCTCCTGGTTGAGACTAATATTAACTCCAAAGTTTGGGCAATTCAAGGGAAAATTGGCCAAGCCATAAATGCCACACAGTTCCAGGTCCACCTTAAGGATCCCACCTCCTTTCCTAACCAGAAACAATGTCCCCTGAAACCAGAAGTTAGGAAAGGACTAGAAGTCATCATTAATAACTTAAGGTTGCAGCACTTCCTCAAATCCTGCAACAGGCCTTATTGTACCCCGATATTGGGGGTACAAAAAGCCAATGGGGAATGGAGGCTAGTTCAGGACATGTGCCTCATTAATGAGGTTGTGGTCCACTATACCCAGTGGTTCCCAAACTTTGTACCCTATTAGTTCAAATACCTGAGGTAACTAAATGATTCACAGTCTTGGATCTAAAGTATGCCTAGAATGCCTTCTTCCGCATACCATTACACCTCAACTCCCAGTATTGTTTTCATTTGAGGATCCCTCTAACCAAAAACTACCCAGTTAACTTGGATGTTGTTACCTCATGAATTCTGAGACAGCCCCCACTTGTTTGGGCAGGAATTGTCAAGAGATCCTTTCAAGTTCCTTTATCCTCAAGTGTATTAGCCTGTTTCCACACTGCTGATCAAGACACACCTGAGACTGCGTAATTTACAAAAGAAAGAGATTTAATTGAATTACAGTTCCACATGGCTGGGGAAGCTTCATAATCATGGTGGAAGGCAAGGAGGAGCAAGTCCTATATTACATGGATGGCAGCAGACAAAAAGAGCCAGATGAAAGGGGTTTCTCCTTATAAAACTGTCAGATCTTGTGAGACTTATTCGGTGCCATGAGAACAGTATGGGAGAAACCACCCCCATGATTCAATTATCTCCTACTGGGTCCCTCCCACAACATGTGGGAATTATGGGAGTACAATTCAAGATGAGATTTGGGTGGGGACACAAAGCCAAACCATATCATCAGGTTAAAGCTTTACAATACATAAATAACATTCTCCTCTGTTCTCCAACTGAGAAAAATCTCTCAGGAGGGCAGTATGGCTCTTCTTAATTATCTGGCTAACAGAGAATATAAGGTTTCAAAATTTAAAGCTCAGCTCTGTCAAACTTCAGTGATGTACATAGGCCTGGACTTGTCAGAGTGTACCAGGGCATGGGGCAAAGAAAGGATTAAGCCCATCACCTCTCTTGCCCTCCCCCAAATCCTCAAGCAACTGAGGGGATTCTTAGGCATTACAGGATTCTGCAGACTATCAATACCTCGGTATGGTGAAATAGCTTGTCTCTTATATCACCTAATAAAAGATTCAGGAAACTAAAACTTACTCTCTAATTTGGAACTGGAGGCTAGAAAGGCTTTTAACTAATGAAAACAAGCCTTTCTTAAGGTACCATCCCTTAGTCTCCCTATATAGAAGATGTTCAACCTTTATGTGTCAGAAAGAAAGGGAATGGCATTGGGAGTTCTAACACAGGCCTGAGGTCCAGCCCAGCAGCCTAAGTAAAGAGCTTGATTTGATAGCCAAAGGATGGCTGGCCTGCCTCCATGCAGTTGCAGTGATAGCCTTGCTGGTACCAGAGGCTGCTAAGCATGCGGAATAACTTAACTGTCTACACTTCACATAATGTGGCAGGACTGCTGTCTTCCAAAGGGAGTCTCTGGTAACAGATAATTACCTCCTCAGTTATCAAGCTCTGCTATTAGAAGGATCTGCAGTTCAACTAAGAACGTGTCCATTTATAAATCCAGCCATTTTTCTCCCAGGGGAAGCTGGGGAGTTTGAACATAACAGATAGCAGATAGCAGTACAAACCTATGTGGCTAGAGAGGACCTCTTTGAAACCCCCTTAGAGCACCCAAACTGAATTCTCTTTACAGATGATAGTCCTTTTGTAGAACAAAAGGCTCCATAAAGCAGGGTATGCAATAGTTACTCTGAATAATATTGTTAAGAGTGTGTCTCTCTCCTCAGGCCCAAGTGCTCAACTAGCTGAACTAATTGCCCTCATGAGGATGCTTGAATTAAGTGAAGGAAAATCAGTTAACATTTATATTGATTCTAAGTACACTTTCTTAGTCCTCCATGCCCATGTCACTATCTGGAAAGAGAGAAACTTCCTCACAGCTAATGGGTCTCCCATTAAATATCATGAGAAAATTGATAGACTATTTTCCGTGTTTTTTCTCCTACAGGAAGTGGCAGTAATACATTGTAAAGGCCACCATAAAGGTATGGATGAAGTAGCCAAGGGAAATAGTTTGGCAGACCAAGCAGCTAAATCAGCAGTGAGAGGTCCCCAGATTTCTGATCTACTTGAAGCCACACTGATCTGGGAGGGCCCTATAAGAGAAATAAAACCTCAATATTCTCCACAGAAATAAAATGGGCCATCTCTCAGAGATACATCTTTCAGTCCTCAGGAAGGCTACAATAGAAGGACAACAAGCTTTATCTACCAGCTGCCAATATATGGAAAGTTCTTAAAAGCCTTCACCAGGCCTTCCACCTAGGTAAGGGTGAAACCTATCAATTGGCTCAGAGATTGTTCTCAGGTAAAAACCTGATGCAAATGGTTAAATAGGTCATTAACCCTTGCAAAACCTGCTTTAAAAGTAATCCCCTTAATCAATGGCTTATTTGCCCAGGAACCCAAAGGATAGGAGGCTACACAGGCGAAGACTAGCAAATGGATTTCACCCATATGCCAAAGGCAAGTTGCATCCAGTATGTCCTAGTACAGATAGATACCTTCACTAACTGGGTAGAAGCATTTCCATGTTGGACAGAGAAAGCCTCTGAGGTAAAAAGAGTACTAATTAATAAGATAATTCCTTGCTTTGGACTTCCTAGGTACCTCCAGAGTGATAATGGTTCCTTATTCAAGGCAGCTGTCTCCCAGGGGGTCTTAAATGCACTAGCCATACAGTGCTACCTTCTTTGTGTTTGGAAATCACAATTCTCAGGAAAGATTGAAAAAACAAATAATATTATCAAAAGTCACCTCAAGAAAACTGTCTCAGGAAATTCACCTTTCCTTAACTACCCTTCTCCCCAGAGCCCTACTATGTATTAGAAATACCCCTTCAAAACTAGGTTTGAGTATGTTTAAAATGATGTATGAATGGCCTTTTCTCACCAATAATTTCTTGCTAGACCAAGAAACCTCTGATTTAATTAAACATATAACTTCTTTGGCCCCTTTCCAACAGGAACTAAAACAACTGCTGAAGGCTGAATCCTGTGAATTAGGGCCACCTCTATTCAACCCAGGGGACCTAGTACTGGTAAAGCTACTTCCTTTCCACTCTTTCTCTATAATCCCAAATTGGAAGGAACCTTAAATGTACTTCTCTCTACTCCTATGGCAGTGGAGTTCACTGGAATAGATTCTTAAATTCATGATATCCAAGTAAAGGCCTGGGAAGCCAACAGAGTTACCTCCATTAACCCAAAAAAGCACCCAAAGCACCAACGTAAAGAGATAGGGGACCTCAGCTAACAGTTGCAAAAAATAAGTGTTAATAATTAACTTTCCAAGACTATAAGTCCTTCTTTATAGTCTTGCCTATGCTTGAAGTTTTCACCTCCGTTCTATTCTATACTATGGGGTACAATGTTATTTTCAGAATAATTAGTATATTTCATTTCTTATATCTGTAATCTTTGGCACTAAATTCTCTCATTTTAACTTCTCTTTGTGTAATACACATATTTAATCCATGCATACTTAATTTTGTGAAATTTGTTTCTTCTTTCCTAGAGGCCATCAAACTCCAATCAGGCAATCAGAGTCTTGAACAATGGCTCCCTTTTACCAAGGACTGTTAGATAAACCTCTGGGAGGAATGTAACTGCTGTTCTTCCCAAAACAATGCCCCCTGTGAGCAGGAAGTAGCTAAAACCGGTCATTATCCATATTCTAATGGCAGTTAGATGTGCCTCTTTGGAGGGTGGAAATGGTAGGGACAGGAGTTAGGGAAATCCTAGGCAAAAAATGTGGGTCCTCGGCAAGGGCCCAACCCTCAAGCCTGGAACCATGGCCCAAAGTGAGAACATGCATTTCTGTTTTCCTGCTTGAATGTTGCCTTTTCCCAAACCATCCTGGCCTGCCCTGCCCCCATCCTGTGCCCATGAAATCCCCAGACTCCACTAGCAGAGAGCAGAGAAGAGGAGAAGGAGCTGGACCTTGGAGACTATAGTTTGACATTGGAGAAAAGCAGCTTAACTTCAGAGGAGCAGCTTAACTTCAGAGGAACAGCTTAGCAGCACTGCTTTGGAGAGGAGGCCAGCTGGGGATAGCCAGATTCTGGGGGAAGATTATCTTCCCACTCCATCCCCTTCCCAGCTCCTCTTCCCTCTAAGAGCCACTTTATCAGCAATAAAATCCTCAGCATTCACCACCCTTCAATTTGTGCAATCTGATTTTTCTTGGACGCCAAACAAGAACTCTGGTGCCACAGATGCGGACGCTAAAGTCTGTCACATTGACCCTCTACATTTGCTGGTGGAGAGGAACCACCTCACAGGAAAAGGCAGTGGCCCCACTGAACTGTTTAACACTTAAGCCGTGTGCAGACAGCAAAGCTAAAAGAGCATTGTAACACACAACCTCTGGGGTTTCGAGGGTAGCAGGCACTCCCCCAAGATGCTGCTGTGGGGCCCACACAAAGTTTTGCTCCTGCCAGCATCCACACTGGCTCCTGTACTCGCTTACCTGCATGCTCCCTCCTGCGATGGGTTAAGTGCAAGGAGTTCCACTGCAGGAGTTTACCCCTGCAGGTGCTGAAGTGGCCAGCTAGCTCCAGCACCGGCACTCCGGTTCCCAACTGCGAAATGGTCAGAAAAATTTCCTGCTCCACCTTCCTGACTAGTTTCTTAAATTTCTATTCCATTACAGTGTCAAAGGTGTCAGCCTGATTTTAGTGGTAGTTAAATATAAATTCTATTCATCAAAAATTAGTTGTTTCTTTTACAATTCATTAAACAAATGGTAATGAATTTCCAATAATTGTGACTCCAGTGAGCATTAAAGTTAGTTTAAGATGTGATCATCCTTAAGCAAATTACATTCTATACTGGTGAGACAGATGTTAAAATATTTGGATCATATTCTATAAATATAAAAAGCTATACTTAAAACTGGAATACTTAATTTATTCACTTTTAATCTAAATTATTTTCAGAAGTTTTTTCAAACATAAAATAGTACAATGAAACACAATTTAGTATACAGTTTTGTTCTTTACATTTATCTTAATACTTACATTGGAAAGAGAAGTCATTTTACCTTGTTGTAATGCAAAATGTATTCCAAAAAAGGCCTCGATATCTTTTATAGTTATTTCATTAACGAGGTGTTCAGTATATCTTAAACTATGTTTCTATTTTCTTTTGATATTAGATATTTTGATTCTGTTTCACTCTAAACTTCATTCTTCAAATAAGGCTATGAATGTTTTTGTTCAATAACAGGACATTTGTAGTGTATAATAGCAGAACATGCCACCTTAAAATATGCCACTTTGAGTTGAGGATTATTCTCAGCTGAAGACAATTAAGAAGCAGATACAAGAAAAATTATCTGCTCTGTGTCTATTTGCCTAAAAGCAGAAAATAAATTTACAAAGGTGTCTCCCTTCCCTTTTCCTCTGGAAGGACAAAGGTAAATCACTGGAGACAACTCTACACCTTTATTAATGCAGAAACAGTACCAGAAAATCTACATAACAAACTTTACTACTAGCTCTTATTTTCTTTTAGTTTCCTTACATATTTGCCTTTCCACAATTTACTGCTCCTGAAAGCTTAAAGTTCTTTTCCTTTGTTTTGTCACCTCTCTAAAAATGTATTGTTCCTTTGTTAAGATCCTAGATAAGCCCAATTCTAATCAATCCTTGAATAACTCATCTCTGGGTACTTAATTTGTAAACTTTATGCAAATCAGTTTGTTTTTCTTTTGTTAATCTGTCTTTTGTTAGTCCAATTTATGTGGTTCCAGCCCTAGAACCTGGGAGGGTAGTAGGAAAAAGAACTTTTTTATTCCCCTAGAGTAGGAAAACAAGGTATTGCTCTCTTTCTAGTATCTCTTCTGCATAATTATAGTCTCCTTATTAATCAGCTTTTCCAAAATCTATGAAATAAAATTCAATGGCAAAAGTCATTGAAGAACTCTGTTAATAAACTTTGATAACATCACTGACCGTCTGGAAATCATGCTTGTTTTTATAATAGTGATGATAATGGAGATTACTGTTCATTATTGCTACAAGACTTGTAAAATATTTTGGCGTATTACCTGATTTAATTATAATTACAAGCATGTGAGGTATTTTTCCCTAATTATGCAGTTAAAAAAACAAGTTTAGACTGATTAAATGACTGCTTTAGGACCACAGAATGACAAGCGGTTGAGTCAGCGCTTAGATTCAAAAAATTTATAATTGGGTCTTTTTTTATGAAAGATTCCTCCCAAAATACTTGGGGAAAAAAAAACCACTCATTTTTATTTACACATACCATAATTTTTGACTATCTGTGGGTCACTGGTTGTCATACTTCATTTTTCAAAAAGAAAGAGGAATGCTCTTAAGAAATGGATTATACTTTCAACAATGCTTGCATCATACATTTCATGCTTCTAACAAGCCTAAAATTGAGTCATTATCTACTGAATAAACAGAGGTTTCTTCAAGTGAGGCAACTTATTTAAGGTCATTACATTAGAAAACAACAACAACAAAAAACTCAAATCCAAGCTGTCTGACACCCTATTGTTGCTTCCTTTACAGCTCTACTGTGGGTAGCAGGACCTTCCACCAGGCTCTTTACTTTGAGTTCCACAATAATTATTTATTTTCCTGTTAATCTCAAGAATTCTCTGAACATATATAGCCTGGCATTAGGCCAATTACTTGATAAAGTGCATATTTTTCTTATTACAGTACATTCATAGATTCTCCCTTCATGTAAATTCTCCCTTCACGTAAAACTTAATAAATTTGTTGAAAGATTTTATTCTCGTTCAAACACCTGGATTATGCATGGCTCTTATGAAAGCAATAGCTGACTCTCCTAAGTGATACATATGTGTAAGTTCTTGGTTATACTAAATCTGGATGGGTAAATCTTCACAGTTCTGAATTAATCTAGGGCACATGTTCTCCTACATCATTATTTAAAAGAAAATATTTTAATAAACAAGATGTTTAATAATTTAAGTTTGTATTATTTCTATTATATAATTTTTGTTACTGGCGCAACTCAATTTGGTTCAGATACCATCTCATAACTTCTCCATAACATGCTTCTTTAAAAGAAAATACAAATTTTATAAAGCACTCAGTTGTATGGGTGCACAAATGGAAAATGTCTCTGATCAAAATTAATTCAGTTGCATAACAGCCAATTTGTAACTAGGACAATAACTGCTGACACTGGGTTTGGATGGGAAATAATTTATCAGATAAAAACTAGAGGTCATGGTGCATTTAAGACAGCTATTTACAGAGCTGAATTTTCTTGCAAAATAATTTAGCTAGGACTTCTGAAGCAATTAATTTATTAAAGGCTGCCATTTATCAGACTAAACCAGACATTTCTATTTCCTTCAAATAAGAAACAGATTAGGCCCAATCTATATAGATAGTCTAAGTATTTTACAGCTTATAGTTTAAAAACTTAGTAAAACAGATTAAAAATAATTGCACAAAACATACCATTAAAAAGATTTTAGGAGATATTACTGTCTAATTTCCTTGGCATAAAATATTTCAAAACCTGACTTAGGCACAAATATGTAAGATAGACAGCTATCCCTATGGAGACCATGGTAAATCAATGGAAACTTGACAATGTGTACCTACATGTGTCCTTTTCGATGATTCGATTTTAGAAAAATGAAGGGTTAACATAATGTCAAGTAGATCTTTATTTTATTTAAATTTATATAATTTTTTAAACATAAAATATATACTGTATTAATCGTTTCTAAAAGAGTACTGTCTACACTGTTATCAGTTATTGTGTTTTGTAGAAAGTACATTTACAAATATTGGACTATGTATGTAGCTGTTAAAGTCTATAGTATTATCTTAGTGTTGTCTAAAATTTGATGTCTTAAAATTTAGTTAATTGCAACTGAATTTCTGATCACATGCTTTTTTATAAAATTAATAATTGCAATGCTAATAAAACATAAATTCTACTATGTACAAAATAGGATATTCCTTACGTGACACTTAGCATTATAAACATGAATTATTTAGTGAATTAAAATAACTTTTAAGTTATTTTAGACACATAAACATAGAATCGATAATTTCTAAACTTTTGCTTTTCAAGGGATATTTTATTATTACTATAGACATTAGCAAATATTTTTTCCTACAGCTATCAATCTAAGGGAGTATGCTACTGAAACAGGAGAGTTTCCTTATCCACCTCTCAGGAAGAAACCACAAGGCTGTGTGGCTCACTCCTTCGGCTGCCCAGCTAATCAAACCCTTAGGGGGAGCATGCAGACAAGCAGGTACAGAGGTCATGGAGAGCACTTTTGGGCTCTGGCCCCTCAGCAGCATCTAGGGATGGGTGTCTGTGACTCCCAAAGCCCACATGGGCATGTGTTACAGTGTGCTTTTTCAGCTTTACTGTCTGCAGATGGCTTGTGTTAATCAGTTCAGTTAGACCCTCTGCCTTATCACGAGGGCAGAGGGCCAGTGTGACAGCAAAGATTACTTTACTGTAGAGAATGGCTGATGTCTTAAAACATCCTACTGAGGATATAAAGGTGACGCTTCTACATACATACTACCAGAAATACACTACTGGGTGACAGTTTTCTCTAATTCTAATTAATAGATGACCCTATACACAAAAAGACACAGTATTTGACTTTTTACAATAATAACATGATTAAATACCTGCATAAGAATAATTTGATGTATCTACTTTCTCAAAAAATTGTTCAAATATTAAAATCCCAAGTCCTGAATAACTTATACAGTAGTTTTTTAAATGAGATACATTTCATACAGGATAAGTTGGAAAAGTGTACATTCTATCATGCATAATAGATTTGTTATTTTGTTTAGCACATAAGATGAAAAAAATGTAACTAAAGAAAGCATATTACAAAGTAGTAATTGTAGTGAGGAAATGTAGAATTTCCTTTTTTGTTGCACAGGGCCTATATTAAGCAATTTACAGAAATGCGTAGTAAGAAAATAATTTAAATATTGATCATTTATTGAAAAAGATGATAAAAGAACTATGAGTAATATTAAGTTTCTGAATACAGATACTTTGCTACAATTTGGAAAAGTCTGTTGATAGTCTAAATGCACCTTCAAATTACACCAAATCAGTATAAAATGCTGAGTCAGTGAACATGCAATCTCAGAGCTTCAGTATTGAAATGACTCATAAAATGATGGAAATCAAAATGGTTAAGGTAATTTCAAGCAGAAAAATGTACTTCATATTTTATCTACTTGTAACATATGGTTTTGAGAACATAAGAACTTATTGCCTAGTATGTTTCCTTTTTCAGCATTTGACTTAATACTAATATGTAAACATTTCATCCCTTAACTTTATTCTCTTTCATTTGAATTAGCTGATTATACATCTTAAACTCATTTGTTACTTTTATTTCAATAATATTCTATCAGCACCTATTTTGCTTCCTCTATTGACATATTTTCACTGCCTTGCACCTTCCCAGAGAATATTAAGTCAGTGCTCTAAAGATATGCCCTTTTGTCGCCTACAGAGCTGAGTTGCTCCTTTCATTTTAGACTTCCTTCATCTACCATAAAAATGGAATGAAAAGACTGTACTCTCATTTTAAATACAAAACTATTACTACCCTTCAGGAGCTCCTGCCTTCCTTATTTCTGGATCTTTTTAGGTATACTTATGATAGGTTCCTTAACAAGATTTTTTTCTCTTTTTTTCAGCTTCCTTTGTGATTGAAGGTGGTAGTGAGAGAACTTTTGTATATTCCGTGTCTGCAGAGCCCTTCTTATCCGATGGCAGAAATTGGTCTCTTCATTGTGCTAAAAAAATTGGTTGCCTTTGCTGCATTTAAAATGGTACCAATGGATACTTTTGGCTTAAGAATGTGACGGTCATAAAAGTTTATTGAATTTCATAGTTCCCCCTTGTTCTGCTTATTTTTCTCAAGGGAGATTAATTAAAAATTTTCTATAGTTTCAAATCACTCTAAATTCTTTATTTTTCTCTGCTCACTTCATTGACTCCCATTACCTAAATTTTAGGCCAAATATAAACATTTCATTAAGTGGAATTATTGCGTATGACATTGAAAATAATGCCACGTTGAATATTCACTATAGCCCTGGAGTGAAACTATACAAAACCACCACCACCAATTAAAAACCCATATATACCTAAACCTTTATGATGAAATATATTTAAGTAGATATTCCTGCACTTTATATGTTTATACATAGATGGAATTGAGAACCAATTTTAAATATATAATAGAAGTATTCTATATATATATATATATGCTTTTCAATAGTTAATATTTTAAGTGTAAGAGTTAAAGAAAGAGGAAAGAAACACGAAACTTGGCTTGCAGTTAAAGACAAGTTTTCTTTCGTTAAAACCTGAGACGTGCTCCTGGCCGCTTTCGGTCAGGAGCGCTTTCTCTTACAGACTAAGAGTGCATAGTGGTTTTTAGGGTGAGGGGGCTTATCAGAAGCTTGGAATGTTCCTGTTTGAGGGAGAAGTTTTACGGCGGAGTTGGAATCTCTGTGGGAGGAGGGGAGTTCATCTTGGGGCAGGCATCTTTCCGGCCAGAGGGAGGTTATCTCGAGACTGGCATCTTCCTGGAGGAGGGGGTTATCTCAGGGCTAGTATGTCTCTGTTCAGGAAGGAATTTGTAATGTTTCCGGTTGGAGATGTTATTTGTGATGTATGGTCACGCTGACCCTAGCCATTAGGCTGATGCCCTTTGGCTTTAGGCAGTTTTTTATTAAGGTGAACTTTAGAATGAGGGGCTTGTCCAAGATGGCAATGCTCCTGCTCTGTCATTAAGCAGAATTTTAATCACTTAAATAAAATAGTTCCATTATAATTTTTAGTTGAGTCTATATTATCACTATTTTTTTTGGTTTGAATATGAGGAATTAAGTGCACTTAAATGAATTTACTATTTTGTATTATTTTTCTGTTTTCTTTTTATAAATTGTCCCAATAAATTTATATATACTCAAACTAAATTCTTGCACCTATAGATTGTTTCTACTGAAAACACAATTCTTTTCAGGAAGCCTTCATTAGGTTGATTTTCTTCTTTCTAAGCTCTGTGCCCAAAAGTCAAATTTGCTTGACCAGTGTTTCTGCAGAGCCTATTCCATGCTAATCATTTGATTGGATGCTGCGACATATTTACTTTACTTAATAATATATAATAGATAGATTTTTCCTTAAACAACATATTTGTTTAAGTAACTAAGATTATTAAATAAAAATTTATTTTGTTTGTTATGGTAACATTTCTAGAAACCCAACTTTAAAAAATAAATTTAATTAAAATGAAATAATTCGTAAGACAATCTTAGTGTATAATTTAACGTCACTGAGTTTCCAAAAATGTCCCTTTATTATGATCTTTCATTTCTAAGTTACTTATAGAAAGAAAACAGAAAAAAAACGCATAACTTTTTACTTTGCCTTCATTTTCCTGAAGAACTTTTGAAACTGCTTTTGCAAAATTATGACTGAGACAGTGAAAGAGATCTAACCTAACTGACTCCACCTTGCTGCTAACCTCCAAGCTATTCTTCTTCATTCCCAGGTGTAGGACGAAATAACTTTGGGAGGAACCGAGTTTATAGTTTAAAACAAAGACGATAACAGCCCTTTCCCAAAACAAACCTCCTTCTTTCCTGGAAACTAGACTGCCTTTGTAGGACTAACAAATTGACCACATGGTTAGAAATTATAGTTTAGGAGTCATGCAGCCGAGGCTAGAAGATTCTGACCCTCCCTAAACTGCTCCTAAGATCAGTGCTTGAGATATTTTGCAGACCCTGCACTTGATGGATCGGCTGGTATCACCCAAACTGATACACTCACTGGCCCATCTCATTTTGTGGCCTCCACTCAGGAACTAACTCAGCACAAGAGGACAGCTTCAATTTACTGTGATGTCATCTCCTACCTGACCTATCAGCACCCCTGGCTCACTGGCTTTTCCTCACCCATTAAGTTGTCCTTAAAAACTCTGAATGCTCTGGGAGGCTGATTTGAGTGGTAATAAAATTCTGGTCTCCTGCACAGCCTCCTCTGCATGAATTACCCTTTCTCTATTGCAAGTCTGTCTAAGCAGCGGGCAAGGTGAACCACTGAGTAGTTAAACTTTTGAGCCAGAGATAGTTGATTCATTAGTTTATTGAATCCTATCTATTGAATAACTTGAAAAGCTCAGTAATTAATAATTATTACAATTAAATTATTATTATCAGAATAAATGTTTTGAACTTGAAGAACATTAATTATCCAAAATGCTTAGAAGAATGCCAGACACATAGGAAGTAGTCACTTTAATTTAGTTACCCAGTAGTAGTAGTAGTAGTGGTAGTAGTAGTCATCGCCGTCGTATTTATTTCATAGCATTGGAACCATAGTAAGTTACGTTTCTTGGATTGTATCAAGGATTTATTAAGAAAATGCATGCCAGAGAGAAACCTCTATGGGAGTGGGGACAGCATAATAGGAAAGGGTAAGAAATTAAGCAAGAATGTGAGTTCAGGTAAGGTCTAGACTCAGCCTTAACCCATAAAAGCTCTGGATCATAGACTGAACTGTGGAGTTTATTCTGATTTATTACTTCTTCCAAGAGAGCTGAGTTTTCATTTCCTAAGCTTGTTACCTATTGGTTATTGATTACCCAACAGAAAGAAGACAGAAGATAAGTTACAGGTGGCTCATGGTATGTGGCTTGATTCATTTAAAAGCAATTTTTCTAAAAAGGTGTATGCTCTTAATAGCAACACCCAAACCCATTGGGGGTTGAATTTCCATTACTGGCGAATGGATTCTAGGAGAGCTGGGTTAGTCATGAAGAAAGTCAGCTATGGGAACTTTTTACTTCTCTTTCCCACAAGTCTCTGATGAACTCAATATAGGTCTTTGTCCTCTTACTTCATTTTAATTTAGTATGCCATTAATTAACAGTGACAGATATATTCTATTTTATTTATACATTGAATTGAAAAGAATAACAGCAAAACATAAATGCCTTCAACAATTAAAGAGACAAATAAATAAAAATAAGATATTTTGTTCAAAAGCTTAAGGGAAGGAACTTATGAGGTTCAAAAGCATATGGTCTTCTTAAAATATGTGAGGTCTCTGGAATATTTTATAGATATGTGCTTTTACATATGCATGCATATTTTTTGAAACATATAATTACATTCTAAAAATATTCTATAACATAAAACATTGGAGAATCCCTGATGTACAGTTGAAAACCGTTGTGACTATATTAGCTTGGCACTACCATGGTGAAGTCCTGTCCCCTCCACTTTGCTTAATTGTAATTAATATTTATCTGTAAGAGTAAGGGGATATTATTGAACTAATTACCAAACGACTGGATTGGAAGACTTTCAGCACCTCATTTTAACCCTTTGTTCCTAATGTTATTATCAAATAGTGCTACAATAGTTCAGAATTTAAAATATAATTTGCCCCCTGGCTTAATGCCATTTTAAAAATGACTTTAGTATTTTTGTGTGTGTAGGGATCTTATTATCTTTTGGCTGGCCAGATAAGCATAATGTATTAGACTATAAAAGCTTAGAGGAAACCACCATTATTTAAATTTTTCTTTAATTAATTTCTAAAATCATTAGTAATTTCTAATTGTTATTAACTTATTTGTAATATTAAAGATGTTTTTCCAGTTTAAGAGACAGATAGAGGTTAATAGTAAGTTATTTAACATCTCTGTATGTTTCTTCCTCTATAAAATGGTAATAACAAAAATAATTATTCTAAAAGTCTTCTTGTGAAGTTTAAAATAGTTAACTCTAAGTTGCTTTAAATATTCAAGAATTATTAGCTAGCATTTATCATATAACGTCTCAATGCTATTCTGATGATCTTATTTAAAGAAAAATAATTTAATAAAAATAGAGCAGAGTGAAGATGGAAATTATCTAAACCCAAATTTTTAATTTATAGACTTGCTTACAAAAACCTTGGAGTAGGAGGGGGCTATCATCAGCGTGGGATTCTGCATTTATCTACTCAAAGTGCAGCATGTCTCCCTGAAAGATGCTTATTAGCATCATCGTCCATATTTGATTATCAGCAATCACAATTAACAGTCTTCTAAATAATAGCATGAAACACTGGAGCTGTCCATCAATACTGACAATAGAATTCCTTGTAAATACTGATATTAGAGTTGAATAATTATAAAAGTTCATGGTCACCTTCCAACAATTAGAGTTAAATATTCTGAAAATTAAACAATTGTATTATTCAAATGATATCTAAATTATTTGATGGTAGTTGTATTTGTCCTTTATTAAAGGCAATCAAATGCTTTTCTGATGTAATTTAGACTTAACCTGGGTTCACTTAGAACTATTAGAATACTGCCAAAAAAAAAAAAAAAGAAAAATAAGCAAGAAAATTTGCTTACAGTAAAACAAAGAAACCATATTCTTTAGGTTTAATAAAAACTAAAAAGGTGATTGTTTCCATGGTAATATAGACTTTATGGCCCCAGGGTTGCTTTGGACAAAGACTGTAGAATCAGTGATGATTACCCTATTTCTATTTCTATTAAACAAGATGAGTTGAAAAAATACACATTGTTCTCGATTACTGCTGCAAGTATAATGTAATTAAAATATATAAATCTAATTATAGAGCAGAATTTCAGTGTCTTTATAATTGCATTTGTTTTAATATTGCTCTTTCTGATAAAATTACAAGAACGTTTATTTAGCTGGAGTTTCAAAAGAGGAAAAATAAGGCCATTTTTCCAAATATTTGATTACATTTTTCTGAATTTTACTTCTCATGACAGTAAATGGTTTTACTCTGACATTTCTTTTTTATTAGCTATTGACCTATATTAATTTGCAGCCCTCTGTGCTTCCTTTTTTTTTTTTTTTAATTTAGGAGATTGTTTTCTGGACAGTAATCTTAAGCTCCTTTGTAAAACATTATACTTGACACTTCCTTGCTATTTTCCTTTTGTACTAATCTTAGAACATGCTGGTTCTTTCCTTAATTCTTGAAGAGGGCCACCCAAATGAGAAAAATTATTTGGAAAACAACTTTTTCCTTAAGAATTAGTTTCATTGGCATATCAGTATCAAGACAGATTTATCGAACCTATTTCCTCCTGGAGTGCTGGATGGCACTAGTCCTAAGGGCACCATTCACTTTCTATTCTGGGATTGTGCTCTGGGAATGCATTCACATAGAATACAATGAAAATAATGCTCTCTGAAGTTGTGCATGCCAATGAAAATAGTCAAATTCTGTAAAATATTTGAAAAGATTTATGTTGAGCCAAGTAGGAGTGACAAATGGCCGGTAACCCAGCCCCAGGAGATTCTAAGGACATGTGTCCAAAGTGGTTGGGCTACAGCTTGATTTTATACATTTTAGAGAGATGTAAGGCATCACTCAACATATGTAAGAAGTATAACCATTTATTCCAGAAAGGTGAGATAACTTGAAGGGGGCAGATAGGCTGCCTGGTCATAGGTAGAGTTAAAGATTTTTCTACTGGCAAACAGTTGAATGAATTTGTTTAAAGACCTGGAATCAAGGGAGAAGGGAGAAGTCTGGGTTAAGATAAGGGGTAATGGAGACCAGATATGTCACATCACATGATAAAGAAAAAAGAAAAGAAAATGAAGACATTTTCTTAATACAAGTGTATACATGCACAAACATGTTTTTAACAAAAGAAGGAGTAAATACTCACGACAATTCAGTCCTTGTTTCTGCAGCTGGTCGTGTGGTCATAGCTGGTATTGATGACTATCTTCTTATACTGCCCATTCTGTAGTCCATTTGCCTTCAGCAAGCACCTCAGCAGGTTGTGGTTTGTTTCCTGGTGGAGTGACTCAAACTTTCATTTCTGAAGGGTCTGGGTCATTTGTAGTCCTGCCTGGATTGGGCTGTTGTAGTTTCTCATTGACCTTAATCAAAGGGCATGATAATACTAAGTGACGTCCTAATGGATCTCCTGTGTTCCATGCATACTCTTCCTTACCTCCATTGTGGAATAGTAGACTGATTTCGTCTTGATACTCTGGGTCAATCACCCCAGCCAAAACTGTAACTCCCTTCTTAGCCTGTTGACTTAAAAGTAGGAGCCCAAAGGGTCCAGGTAGCAATCTTAACTTCCAGTTTAATGCAATTGTTGTTGTGTCTCCTGGTGGCAGCATTCCTCCCTCTGGAACTAAGACCTCTAGGCCAGCAGAAGGTAATGTCGTGGCAACAGGAAGCAAAAATGTTGCTATTGGATCACTAGGGGTGATGGTGAGTGGTGCCATTTCCACTTCCACTTCCACCCCTTAATTCCTGGACCCATGAATCCTGGCTATGGGAGAAACAGTACCATATATTGGATGCTGATTCAGAGCATACACGGCCTTCTGGAGAACTTTGCCTTAGACCTACAAATTATTGTCATCTAGTTAGCATGGTAATTTTGACTTCAAAAGGCCATTCTACCATTCTATCAATCCAGCTGCTTCAGGATGATGAAGAACATGGTAAGACCAGTGAATTCCATGAGCATGAGACCACTGCCACACTTCTTTAGCTGTAAAGTGAGTGCCTTGATGTCCTGACCACTGGGAAGATTTCTTCCCACTGTCCTTCAGGGATGTCCTAGAAATGGGCTATAGTGCTGCAGATGTCCAATTTCGGGTGGTGCCTGCATATCATGCACAACCATCTGGGAACCAGGCTGTAGTCTTCTCTTCCTCTGTCAACTGATCATAGCAAACTCTCCATGAGGCCATTGGTGCAGGCTGGGGGAGAGAAGGCAGGATGGCAGGAGTGGAGACCATGGGGATTTGAGCCACTTCCTCACGTAACTTACTTGTGCCTTCACGACCTTCTCAATTCCTATCTCATATATACCACTTACATTTGATGATGGAATGCTGTTGTGCATGACTCACTTTATGGCTAGATAGGTCAGAAAGCACCCAGCTCTTGATAGGATATTCACGTCACATGGTGACATAATGACCCATAGTCAAACATTCAGTTTCCACCAAAGCCCAATAACAGGCCAAGAGCTGTCTCTCAAAAAGAGAGTAGTTATCTACAGAAGATTACAGGGCCTTGCTCCAAAATCCTGGAGGCCTCCACTGTGATTCACCTATGGGGACCACCAAAGCCTCCAAACAATATCCCTATCTGCCACTTACACCTCAAGCACCATCGGATCTTCTGGGTCATATGGCCCAAGTGGCAGAGCAGCTTGCATAGCAACCTGGACCTATTGCAGAACCTTCTCCTGTTCTGGATCCCACTCAAAACTGGTGGCCTTTTGGGTCACTCGATAAATGGGCCAGAGTAACACACCCAAATGAGGAATGTGTTGCCTCAAAAATCCAAATAGGATCTCTAGGCATTGTGCCTCTTTCTTGGTTGTAGGAGGGGCCAAATGCAGCAACTTATCCTTCACCTTAGAAGGAATATCTGGACAGACTCCATACCACTGGATCCCTAGAAATTTTACTGAGGTAAAAGTTCCCCGAATTTTAGGTGATTTTCCATCCCCTGGCATGCAAATGTCTCACCAATAAGTCCAGTATGTTTGCTATTTCTTGCTCATTGGAGCCAATAAGCATAATGTCATCAATGTAATGGACCAGTGTGATATCTTGAGGAAGGAAAAAGTGATCAAGATCTCTTTGATTAAGATTGTGACTCAAAGCTGGAGAGTTGATATACCCCCAAGGGAGGATGGTAAACGTACATTGCTGGTCTTGCTAGCGGAAGATAAATTGCTTCTGGTGGTCCTTATGGACAGGGATGGAGAACAAGGCATTTACCAAGTTAATGGCTGCATACCAGGTACCAGGAGATGTTTAATTTGCCCAGGCAATGAAATAGCCTGAATAGCCTATCTGGTACAGCAGCTGCAATTGGAATCACCAGTTGTTTAAGCTTATGATAATCCATGGTCATTCTCCAAGATCCATTTGTCTTCTGCACAGGCCAAATGGAAGAGTTTAATGGGGATGTGGTGGGAATCAGCACCCATGCATCTTTAAAGTCCTTGATGATGGCATTAATCTCTGCAATCCCTCCAGGGATGCAATATTGTTTTTGATTTACTGTTTTTCTAGGTACAGGCAGCTCTAATGGCTTTTATTTGTCCTTTCCAACTATAGTAGCCCTCACCCTACCAATCAGGGAGCCAATGTGGGGGTTCTGCCAGCTGCTAAGTATGTCTGTGCCAATTATGCATTCTGGCACTGGGGAAATTACTATGGGATGAGTCTGGGGACCCACTGGACTCACTGTAAGTTGGACCTGAGCTAAAACTCAATTAATTAACTGACCTCCATAAGCTCCTACTTTAACTGGAGAACCACAATGACGTTCTGGGTCCCCTGGAATCAATGTTAGCTCAGAGCCAGTGTCCAGTATTCCCCAAAGTGTCTGATCATTTCCCTGTCCCCAGTGCACAGTTAACTTGCTAAAAGGCCAGAGATCTTCTTAGGGAAGGATGGTAGGAAGATTAACAGCATAAATTGTCGGTAATGCAATGAGATCCTTCCTCAAGGGGACCCTGCCTTCCCTCCATTCAAGGGGTGCTGGGTCTATAAACTGGCTCAAGTCTGGAAATTGATTGAGGGGCTGTGATTCTGTTTTTATATTTCAAACTAGTCTTTTGTGCATTCAACCTAGAAGTTTTCTGCTTATATAAATTAAGTAGTAATGCAGTAGGCTTCCTATCAATTTCACTTCTAGGAACACCATGACTAATTAGCCAATGCCAGAGGTCTACACAAGTCAGACTATTCAGATTGCTGCTTTGCCTCTGCTGTCCATTACGGTAGCTATGCCCACCTTGCCTTTGTCAGTTGAGTGCCGCCACTTGACCTCTACCACCTTGGGATCTAATTCTTCCCATTGTATTTAAATTTTGTAGATGAGTGACTGTGGTTTCCACTATTAGATCTGACACACAGAGAAGAGCAATTACAGGGTTCTTCAAAGACGCAGGTGCTGCTCTCACAAATCTATTTTGCAAGGCATTGGTCAAGGGTATATTTTCTGGACCCTCCCAGCTGGGATGAGTATATTTAAAGTGACTAATCCATTCCATCATCTCAATCTCCCTAAGCCTTTGGATCACTTCCTCTACCTTAAACCAAGGGAATCAGGCATTCCCAGCTCACTCACACTGGGCCATCTTTTAATCCAAATTTTAGCTAACCAAACAAATAAACTATTAGAACCATTTTTTACTCCTTGAGCTGCAACATTAAACACAGAGTTCCTACTTAGTGGGCCTAAATCAATAAATTCAGCCTGATTCAACTCTATGTTCCTTCCACCATTATCCCATACCCTTAATATCTATTTCCGTGCCTGTTCTTCAGATTTCTGTTCACACAAATTAGAAAACTCAAGCAGTTCTTTATGAGTGTAGTGTGCCTTCTCATGGGTTATGCTCTCAACCTGACTTCTGGGGGCCCGCCGGAACTTTAGTCAAATTATAGGTCTAGAAGCAAACAGGAGAGTTGGGGGTGGCTCCTTAGGAGAATCAATATTATTGTGTCTGGCAACTGCCTCAGGGGAGGCCATCACAGTTGCCTCAGGCAGCCCAGGGTTTATTTCTTCAGACAAATGTGGAAAGGCTGATGGCAGCATGGGTTGGAGAGGGGATGTTGCCAATACTGGGGATGAGGAAGCTGTTTCTTCTGGCAAAAAAAAGGTTTCATCAGAGTTTACAAACTCAGTGTCCCCAGCTTCATCAGGGTCCTCCCACACATCCCCATTTCAAGTTGCAGGGACCTATTGTTTTCCAATCAATGCCCCCACTTTAACAGTAGACACCTGGCGAGGCTCTGCATGCACCTTTTTTGCAGGTCAGACACTCATATGATAAGAGCTTGTGTCTGTTTATCCATAATTTCAGCTCTTTCTCGAGAGAAGACAAGACTGTCAATCAGGGCAATCTTAGCAGATTTGAGGCTCAGTATCTGCTTCTGAAGCCAGAAGACAGAATCTCTGAGTTCATCATTTTCTTTCATTACTTTGTCCACTGAACTTAGGAGCAACCAACCAGCCTTATTATGTTCCTTGATTCTCCATATATGGTCAAAGGTATTATGTATAGGGTCACTAAACTCCTTACCTCTCAAAAGTGGTGAATGAGGAGTGTAAAATGCATTTATTTTGCATAATTGTCTAAAGAGTTCATGCCAAAGACTATCAGTGTTCTCCATACTATTAGAAGTAGAGTCCTTAGCAGTTTTGGGTCAATCATATTAAGCAGCCAACTCCAGAAACCCCAAAACCAATAAAAGAACTCCATCCTTAATATTTGGTTTCCCCAGAACCACTTCTGGTACCAATATCTGTATTAGTCAGGGTTCTCTAGAGGGACAGAACTAATAGGGGAGATATATATATACAAAGGGGAGTTTCTTAAGTATTAACTCACACAATCACAAGGACCCACAATAGGCCTTCAGCAAGCTGAGGAGGAGGGAGAGCCAGTCCAGGTCCCTAAACTGAAGAACTTGGAGTCCGATATTCGAGGGCAGCAAGCATCCAGCATGGGAGAAAGATGTAGGCTGGGAGGCTAGGCCAATCTTTTCATGCTTTTCTGCCTGCTTTATATTCTTGCCATGCTGGCAGCTGATTTGATGGTGCCCACCCAGATTAAGGGTGGGTCTGCCTTTTGCAGCCCACTGACTCAAATGTTCATCTCCTTTGTCAACACCCTCACAGACATTCCCGGGATCAATACCTTGCATCCTTCTATCCAATCAAGTTGACACTCGGTATTTACCATCACAAACAATAATCTTAAATTTTGTTACAGTACACACACAGCATCAAGTAGAGAACTGGACACAATCTTTTCAGTATAATAAGGGAAGAACCTCTCTTACCAAAAGATATAATACTTCTAGCAACACCATGTGGATACAGAACAAATCTTGCCTGGTGATTGGCAGACCTCTCAGTGATGGCCAGTAGGTACCCAAAATAGAGCAAGAGTCTGAAATGCTCATCTTCTAGATGCCAAGAAGATAGCTAAAATGTCCCTTGTAAAGAACCTGGGAAAGTGGAGATGAAGGGGAAAACTTGACATGGCAGAAGGAGCCGGGAGGGGGAGTCAGAACTTCGAATTGATTGAATATTTGAAATTGAGGCTCTTCTAAAATCAGGGATACTAAGCTACCTTTAAACCTCAGACTTATCTCATAGTAAATGGATATGGCCACCCAAGAACAAGAAATATCAGTAACAGATAATAAGACACTTAGGTTCTATCGCACATATAATTTACAGCACACATACAAGTTATGTCTTCCCACATATATATTTGTTCACACAAGATGCTACAGTTTCACAGCAGATCTAATCACATACATTAGATACATAGATATTTTTAAACAGATATAACTTGTTCTTGTCACTGAGAACCAACAATAAAAATCACTATTATTTCTGCCCTTATGAATATTGCACCTTAACGTGGGAGGACAGATATTAATAAGACATTCATGATAATGAATGCAAAATTAAAAGCAGATAACAACATTTCTTTATAAAAGGAGGGGAGCAAAGAACTATAAAGTTTTAAACAAAAGTGCATGACTTGAAGTTTGAAGGCAAGAGGACCTGTGCAGGACAAAGAATATTTCTCTGAAGCAAGCACACGTGACCTGACCTCTGAAAAATGATCTACAGTTAATGAATGTGACTTAAAGGAGAGAAAGATCTTATTTCTGTTCTACTCTTTGCTCTCTCACCTATTAGAAAATTTAGACAATCTAGAGAAAAAAAAAGTTTTCTAAATTTCTTTTTAATGTCTTTTAGGTCTTAAAACTAATTTGCTTGTTTAACATCTTTCTTGATGAATACATGTCTAATGTATACTTGTCTATACATATTAAGTTGAGGAAAGGAGGGATTAAATAAAAGACAAACTGAAACTTTTGCCTTTCAAAATGCCATGTAAAGAAAATAATAAAGCCAGATACAAACTGAGAAAACAGTATCTGTAATACATAAATCTCATAAAAGGCTTGTATCTGAACATAGTTTTTAAAATCCTACAATTTAATGTAGAAAAGACAAATATCCAATTTTAAATAAATTTATTAAATCAATACATCTTTAAGTAAATGCATTTTTAGAATAATGTATTCAACGAAAGATATACCAAAGACAAACAGCCATTTTAAAAGGCGCTGAAAATCATTAGTTATTAAGGAAATGCAGATTAAAACCACAATATCCCTACACACCTATTAGAATGGCTAAAATGAGAGATTGACAATAACAAATGAGAATATAAAGCAACTTGAAATTTTATATACTGCAGTTAGTAATACAAAATGGTAGACATTTTGGAAATTAGCATTTTTAAAATAAAGGATAAACATTTACTTACCATACAACCTAGAAAGCCCACATTCCATGTATAAGCTTTTATCTGAGAGAAATTAAAGAATATATATATATGTATACTCAAAGCTTTGAAAGTGAATGTTCAAAGCAGTTTTATTTGCAATAGCTAAAACCAAACAAATGTTCATCAGCAGATAAATGTATAAACAAATTGTGATATATTCATATAATAGAATTACATTCTACAATAAAATGGAACTATCAAAACAGAAAACAACAAGAATAAATATCCAAACTATTAAGTTAAATAAACTAGCCACAAAAGACTACATATGGTCTAATTTTATTTGTATATAATTTTAGGAAAGGTGGAAGTGTAGTACATAAATCAGTGGTTGCTGAGATTTGGCTATGGGGGGAGGCATCAAGTACAAAAGGGCATGAAGAAATTTTGGAAGATCATTGAAATGTTCCATATGTTGATTGTGGTTGTAGTTAGAAACTGCATAAATTGCTCATAATGCACTAAATTTTACACTCAAAATTGTGGATTTGATTGATTAAAAATATATGGCAATGCTTTAATATTTTTAAATATTGAATCCCTAACTAATTAATTTATTTTGGAAAGAATTTTTTTTTTTTTTTTTTTTTTTTTTTTTTTAGACGGAGTCTCGCTCTGTCGCCCAGGCTGGAGTGCAGTGGCACAATCTCGGCTCACTGCAAGCTCTGCCTCCTGGGTTCACGCCATTCTCCTGCCTCAGCCTCCCGAGTAGCTGGGACTACAGGCGCCACCACACCCGGCTAAATTTTTGTATTTTTAGTAGAGACGGGGTTTCACCGTGTTAGCCAGGATGATCTTGATATCCTGACCTCCTGATCCACCCGCCTCAACCTCCCAAAGTGTTGGGATTACGGGTAGGAGCCACTGCGCCTGGCCTTATCTAAAAATTTTTAAAAAATTTTAGCTATAAATGAAAAAAGTTCAAATGGATGCATTTGTTTCATGTTATTTAATTATTCTGTACAGAAAGTATTTTAAATATTAGTGTACAGTGCATGTGAACAGATTTATATGTCATAATTTAATTTAAGAATATTAGTAAATATTAGGAAAAAGTTAATGTGTTTTTAAAAACAATTCTATTTAAATCTCTAAGCCTAGAGATTTTTTTCATCACCGTAATGGGTATGAATTTGATTTTTTAAAATACAAAGTCGTATTATTTATTTACTTACTTATTTTTCAGTTTGGTTCTTGCTGTTGTTGCCCAGCCTGGAATGCAGTCGTATAATCATGACTCACTGCAGGCTTGAACTCCTGGGTTCAAATGAGGCTGCCACCTCAGCCTCCTAGGTAGCTAGAACTACAGGGGCATGCCAACATGTCAAGCTACATTTTTATTTTTGTGGACACAGAGTCTCATCCAGACTGATCTCAAATTCCTGGCCTAAAATGATCCTCCGGCCTTGGCTTCCCAAAGCTTGGGATTACAGGCATGAGCCACTGTGCCCAGTGAGAATTGTATTATTTACATATGGAATTGTTCCTGATTATAGAATTAACACACATGTATTGTTAAAATTTGTAAATTGCAGCCATCTTGAAAGACTGAATTTAAAAACATTAAAAAATATTACTTGAGTGAACATTTTTAATATTCCTGCTTCTTTCTTGATTCTATTTTATTTTATTTCTTTACAAATTTGGATGGAGGTTTGTAACCAGCTTTATTGATTAAATCATGATCTTTTCCTACGTTGTTAAATATGTTTTACAACATGATTTTTAATAAGAGCTTATTATCATCTAGTAAGAATGTATTTCATCTACATTTATTTATGCAGTGTTCTCTGGTAGGAGACTACCAAAAATACATAAAAATAAGTAATGTTAGATTTTAGAAAACCTTTAACCCTGTGATGAATAAAGGTTTGTGACGATTTCCTGAGAGTAAATTTCTAGAAGTTCTTTATGAGTTGATATATGAAAGTTTTAGATGTTTTGGTAATTAGTAACAGTTTGCCTCCAGAAAGTTTACATCACAATAATGTTTGAAAACACTAATTTCACCATATATTCTATATCATTGTTTGTTACTAATTAATTATGCACCAATTTTATAGGTAAAAATGGTATCACATTTGTTTTATTTTATGTGTTAGTTACAAAAGATTTTTTTAAATTGTTTCTTGGCCATTTGAATTTCTTATTTTATTAATTTTTCCATTGAATTATTCATCTATGAATCCATGTCTACTGGTATCCATCTATATCTCAATTTAAAATTGAGTGTGTCCCCATTTTTTTAATGATTTATAGTAACTTTTTTTTTGAGACGGAGTCTTGCTCTGTTGCCCAAGCTGGGGTTCAATGACACAATCTCTGCTCACCACAACCTTTGCCTCTGGGTTCAAGTGATCCTCCTGCCTCAGCCTCCCAAGCAGCTGGGATTACAGGAGTGCGCCACCATGTCGGGCTAATTTTTGTATTTTTAGTAGAGACGGGGTTTCACCATGTTGGCCAGGCTGGTATCGAACTCCTGACCTCATGATCTGCCCGCCTTGGCCTCCCAAAGTGCTGGGATTACAGGCGTGAGCCACCACGCCCGGCCAATTTATAGTAACTTTTACAAATATCTGGATAGCCTACCTGGGGTATGTGGTTCATATATTGCTTAGTGGACTGTTTTATTTTTTTAAATCAGTTATTACTTTCTGGGAAATAAAAGGTAGAAAACTTCTTAAATTACTAAAAAGGGAGTGCTTATTAAACCCTCTCTTCATGAGCTAGGCCATACCTGGAAATGTTTGATTTCATTAACTTAGGAAGTTACTGAGTGGAGCGCAAGAAATAGTCTGTCCCTTTAGCACTTGAGCCCTGATCAACATATAACCAGTATTAGTGGATCTATTCCCACGGCTTTATAGCACTGTACTATTGTGACCACCTTTACACAAAGAAGTTGTGCATGTACTAGGTATAGCATTCTTTTCTATGCTTGAAAAAAGCATGAAGATCTTGTGGAAAAATTCTGCTGTAATTTTTCTGCAGAGCAGATAAAGAGTCACTAAATATATTGGAAGAAAAATAAAAGATGAAATGATTATAATAAACTAGTAGGAATCTAAAACTGAGTTGACATGAAAAAAATGAAATACGAAGCTGAGAGGTGGAAAAAGGTTTGACAATGAGAAACTACACAGGACCTATGAGTTTATCTTCTTCCACAGAGAATCTAGACATACCAGAGAAGATGAAGCATCGCTGAATCTCACAATGGCAATAAGAAGCTGTAGAGAATCAAGACTAAGGCTGAGAAATTTAGAAATGTATTTATCTGAGAAAGATAATACAGAGACAGATCTAGATATAGATAGATAATCAGATAAGTAGATCAGCTGATAATAAATGTTTCATAGAATTATTAGGGTGTATGAATATTACCTACAAATAAGAAGCAAAACATTATGGAGTGAAGGCATAGCAAGAAGGCTGGATAGGATGCCAATGTATTATGCTATGTATTTGGATAGATTATCTGTTCAGATGTAATTCTGTAAGGGGCATTGTTGATCTGGTTTACCTACTTAATTTGCTACAAATTGAATAACTACAGTTAAAACATATTTTCTGTTATACAAATAGATTTACTTGTTCATCACTTTATCGCTAATGACTAGTACAAAATCACTGTGCATTTTGTTTGGCTGTCTTCTTGTGTTATTTCCACATTTAAAAAATACATTCAAGCACTTTTTATGGATTTATTCACTGATGTTTGATGTATGAATTATATTAATACTGGGTTTAATAAAAGATTAAATAATAATGAGCAAGGCCATGCTAAAGTGATGATAGATACAATTTCTTGAAAAACAATGAAAATATACATTACAGGTTAGATTACTGTGAAGTAAATATTCTGATATTTATTTTAATTATTCATTACAAATAAGTTACAATATATATAATTACAAAAGATGGATTTTCTCAGCTGTCCCTTTCTTATCATCTTCTTTATTACGTGACTCTGGTTGCTCTGCCATTCTGTGAACTACACAATCTAGATTGGAAAAATTCTTGTATTGCATTTAAAAAAATAATGTGCAGAGAATTTTCAGTATCTTCACCTACTATTTTATCTAGATGTCTATTTTAATTACTAAATCTTCATCAATCTTATATACTTTGTTCTAGATAAGTATTTTTCCTGCAAAAACAATGTTGTGTAATGGTAAAGACCACACACTCTGGAGCTAAGTGTCTGATTTTAAAACTGGGTCTCTTCTTTTACTAGCTATGTGACCTTAAGAAGTTATTCAAATTTTCTATAACTCAGTTACTTCATCGCTATAGGGCAGATAGTATTAAGACTTATAAGTTTCTTTGAAGCTTAAATGAGTTATTCATTGTGAAACACAAGAGTAATTGGCCTGTATTAGTCCATGTAAGTGCTATTTATTTGTATTATTGTAACCACTGGTACTGATGTTACTATCACTACCATATATATCTGTTTCATTCTTGATCTTTCAAGGCATAGTATGCAAAATGTCAGCTTCACAGTATCCTTTAAATTATTTTATTTCTCTCTGTTGAATGATCTGTAATATGTATCCTAGTTCCTGAATCAATAAAATATCATGGTAGGAATGCGTAGCGTGGTGGTAAATTTGATCCATCAACTTGACTGGACTAAGAAATGTCCAGATAGCTGACAGATATTATTTCTGTGTTTATCTCTGAGGGTTTTTCCAGAATATACTAGCATTTTAATTGGCAGACTGAGTAAAGAAAATCACCCAGACCAACAGGGTGGGCATCAACCAATTTGTTGAGGGCCTCAATAGAACAAAACGGCAGAGGAAGGGCAAATTTGATCTCTTTGCTGGAGCTGAGACACCCATCAGTTTTCTGCCCTTAACATCAGTGCTCCTGGTTCTCAGTCCTTCAGACTCAAACTGGGACTTACAAACTGGGGCTCCCACGGTCTGCAGGCCCTCAGGCTTGCACTAGAACTATACCTCCAGGTTTTCTCTTTCTCCAGTTTGCAAATAGCAAATCAGGAGATTCCGAAGCTATTTAAAAATGAGGGTAATGTTTCTCAAGATATTTGTAACATTTTTTGTGCAAGGGGAGATCAAGAGTAATTGCCTATGAATTTATAAAACAGTAATGTATCTAAATTGGGAGAAGAAAAGCAAGAGACCAGAAATACATCATTCTGAGCATAAGAATTTTTTAAAATTAATCATGGTGAGCTATAAAATAACAGGTATTTTGAGATCCAAGGAAAGATGCACCATCCTATGCTGCCATTTTAATCATGATTTAAATAATTTATCTATGTGTAACTTCTGCAAAAACTGCTTTGAGGTTTGAGAGAAGTATGGTATTTTTGTAAAAACAGCATGTAAGGAAATTATCATGTATATTTCTAATCAAATAATCTATTTCAGGAAAAACGATGCCGAAGCTTTGTTCTATAATTACATTTCAGTAATTAAAAATAATGAATAAATTCTAACACATTTCCATTTCATTTCATTTTATTATGGTTTTTATATAATGGTTCATTTGAAAAGAAATAGTTTCTTTTAAAATAAGCAGTGGAAGTAAAATCCATAGTATGGCATACATTCCAGAATAGATAGGAAGAATACATTTATAACAATTACAAATGGCAATTCTTTATTTGCCATTTATCTCTTTTGTCCCCTGTTTTTAGGCATTAGAATTCAGTCTGGGAAATAGACCAGAAATCCCTGCCTTTGGAGAGCTTAGATTCTAGTGGACTCGTAATGAAGTAAATAAGTAAAATATAATGTGTGCCAAGATGGTGGAAATGAATAAAAGAAGAGGAAATATATGTCAAGCAGAATATGCCATGTCCAACAACGTAGCTGGGAAAGTCTTCACTGAAAGAAGACACGGAAGAAGTTGGGGAGGAAAGTGGGGCATGGGAGATGCCAGATCACAGAGGGTCTAATGGACTTTCAGAAGGATTTTGGCTTCACACTTAATATAATGTGGAGAATTAGTGAGATAATGAGAGGATAGATGTATTCTGATTCATGTTGTGAAAAGATCTTCTGAGTCACTTTGTGGAGAATAGATTGGGTTAAGGGTACAATAGGGAAACATGGTGGATGCACAATGGCAGCAATCTAGTGAGAGATATTGTTGGCTAGAGTCAGGGTGGTAGCAGTATAAACATCATAAATAAGTGGGACAATTATAAATGTATACTTTAGAGATATATCAGGTAGGTTTCCTGAGAGGCTAAAGAGTTAGAAAGGATATCTTTCAGGACAGGTGTGCCATTCATCGAATTGGGAAACGTGAAGGACGAACAGGATGGATGCGTGGTATAGGTGATGATTAGGATGAGGATGAGAAATGAAGAGACTCTTTCCCTAGGAGAGAACATGTTTTGCATACTTTTCCTTCACAAGTTGTATAGACTTCAGAAGTGATGGTCAGTTTTTACTATTATTATTATTTGAACCACAGAGATGAAATTTTAGCTCCAAAGTTTTGATAAAGCTTCATAAAGAGAAAAGCAGACCTGTATAATTTGAAAATCTCAAGAAAACAATCATGCCCCTAGTACTTTAGTCTCATCACTTAATTGATCTTTAATTCAACTAGTCATTTATTCAAGAAAAAATGTTGGAGTGCCTCCTTTGTCCTGGACAGTATGAAAAGGATTTACAAATACTGATAAACAAAGCTAGTATGGCCCCTACACTTACTAGAATTTATATAATCCATTGGGGATATGTATGTGTGTGTGTATCATTAAAATGGTTCTAGATCAGAAATTTTGCCATCTTATTTTAATAAGATGCATCAATATGCCATCATGTTAAATGTTCAGCAACAGTCACTATTATAAGTGATTAGCTATGTGGATATGTACAATGGGGAGTCAAAAATAGATTTTAAAATGTGGTGAAGAATGATTTTTCATAGAAAGTGAGGAATATCATATTACATTTACAAGCTTATATTACAGTATCTATAGTTAATCTCAAGATTTATGAGAACACTTCAAAGTTTCAACCACCAAATAGTAACTTAGGACCACTTAAAGATGAGCTAACAACATAAAGGATATTCACAAGATAGCAATAATTTTTTTAAAAAAAGTATTTTATTGGAATATAAAGACCAAAAAACCTCAATTCAGGAAGCAGTGCTATTTTCAGATTTTTTTCTCGTAAGTTCGATGGGGTTAGAAACATATTTGCTAATAAAAGTTTTTAAAATAATGACATAAGTAGTTGAAACAACATTCATAACAAAACAATCTAGAAATATATGAAATGATCTATTGGTATTTATATATATACTATTACGTATGTTTTATTTGCATATTTTTCATTCAGATATATTAATAAGAATTTCTATTTTGAAGGTAGTTACTATCAATAATAGTATTAAAAATAATTTATATAGCCACATATATATTTGTTATAAGTTTATGGGTATATACTATATAAATCATCAAGAAAAAAAGAAAAACTAGAAGTTTTAAAAAATCTAAACATTTTATATTAAAATTTTTGACACATTCACTGAGTATGGTTATGTTCAGGTATACCTTTTCTCTACATTCTGACTTTGTCAAATCATTTGGAAAATTCAAAAATTCATAATAATCAGTATTTTTAAAAGATTATATTAAATGAGTCACAGGTATGTATATTTTGTTCATGTCTACCTTGAAAGGTTGTAGTTGAATTTTCATAGGCCATTGCAAGATTTATACACTCTTCCTTTTTCATGCCCATTTACTATAGGACTAAATTAATAAGTAAAGCTAGTTTATGTAGTAGAAAAATTTCTTTGGCTGTCCTGCCTAAGAATTATCCCTTACCCTAGAGTACTTGGTACCTTACCCACCTTATGCTGTGAGTCTTGGGAATTGGTAGGAGTTATAAATCACCCTGCAATATTGAAGGTTAAATACCAGATACTCATTAACTTGGCCTTTCTTACACTAGCCCATGAGCATCTGAAAGGAAGCAGGTGAACGTGACCCAACCTTTGAAACGGGAGACAGTGATGTAAAATCCAAGTGATCATGGAGAATTGATTTCTGTGGCAACCATGCAGCAACATCCAATTGACAGGAGCTCAGTGGCAGTAATGACAGTAATATATATTATGAAATATATAAAAAATATTTTGTATATTATTATTAGTTATATATCAATAATATGTACGAAACACTTTACAGTATGTAAGTTTTTCATTTGCTTGGGAGACAGATTTTGTAGATATAACTACAACAATATATCCATCCCACATGCTCTTCTAGAATGTGACTTAGACATACCTTCATTGAAGAAGACTCCTGGCTTGACAGTAACCAATAGAATGGGGTGCAGGCAATACTGTGGTATTTCTCAGGCGAGACCAGAAGAGGCAATGTTGCTTCTGCTTTATCCAATCAGATTCTCATTCTTGAAGGCTTCAGCCACCATGGAAACAGTCCAACTCTTCTGAGGTCACCAAGCTATGAGGAAGCTCAAATTATCTCACATGGAGAGACCACATGAGGATGTCTATATGAAGAGACTTGAGACTACATGAAGAGGAAGAGATGGTTGGCTGGTTGCTCCAGTCTCCTGCATGTCAAAATCCAGCCACCTTCTGGTATAACTGCATATGAGACTCTGAGCCAGACAGCTGAGTTGTGACTGGATTTGTGACCCTCAGAAGCAATGAGATAGATAAAAATATTGTCATTATTTTAAGCCATTTTGTTTTGGGATATTTTGGTATTCAGCAATAGATAAGCTGAAATGGCTTTGGAATAAGTGAAAAACAGTTTCAAATATTTGCTTAACTGAAAATAGGAAATAAACAAATTTCCTCCCACATATGGCCACATTCCTGGTTTTATAATTATCTAGTTTGAGAGGAATTACATGTGAGGAGTCCTTGATTTGGGCTTCCTTCTTACTCCTCTCTGATGCTTATGCTGCAAACGCTAAAATAGGTATAGTTCTAACCTCCTGTTAAATCTTCTCAGCTATTTGTCTCAGTTGGGTATTCCTATTCCTTAATAAATCCCTGATGTTGAACCTTAGACAATTCTCATGGAAGGAGAAGCTTTTTTCTTTCACTTACTGGGATAGTGAATTTTTCTCTCTCATTTTCTTTAGTTGTACTTTGCTTATCCGAGAATTATTTCCAGTCTTTTTTGGGGTCTCTCTTATCTATTATTCTTCTGACTCCTACCGTTTCTATGACACACTGAGTGTTATGAGCATGTTACATTTGATAAACTTCACTTGCAGTGTTTTGGCAAAGGAACTTTCTCATCTGCATGCTTTCTATTGCAAACACAGTTGCCCTTTGCCTTAGTGAGTAAACAGATCTCTTAAAACTAAGAAAATAGGGTTATGCCTCAGGATAAAATTGGGTTATTATCTATTATAGAACCCCACATGTGTTTGTTTATCCTCAAGTCATCTCCCTAATGTCCCATGAGCCTTTCTTACTGCTGTCTTTACAGATCATCTGCAAGTGGAAGCATATTTGCCTTTACACATAACTTCTTTCACTTCTGTTATCTTTTTGCTATTCTCTTGTAAAATTGTCCTCCTATCTGTGTGCTACCCATCTTAAAACTGCTGTCAAAAAGGACTGTCTTCAACTTTGAATGCTCTACGGTAGTTTATTCAAAATACAGAACACTTTATCTTGAAACTAATCCTATGCTTTTTCATTATTAAAAATAAGTTTTGTTTGATATCTTTGTTCTTTTCAATAGTTGCAGATGAGCCAGAAACTGGAACTGACTTTGAAATAATCTTGAGCTAATAGAGAAATCTCTGCTACAATACGTAGAGACTCTTTATAATATTGCAAATATACTGTGATATACATGGGTAGACAGTAAGGAAGAAGCAGAAAATGTTAAGAATAACAGAATCAGTCTTCACTTGAGCCTGCACAGGGAAACATAACAGAGAGACTCTTTGCCTGTGCATTTCAAAGAATGTGTACTGCCGCTACAGGATGTTGTCTAGAGTATGTCAGGAGGTCATCGAGAACACAATAGCCAAATACTAAACTGAATCTGTTCTGTCTTCTCAACTCTGCAGCTCCACAGCTACCAAGCAGGTCCTTACAAAAGACTAATATAATCTTCAGATCAAAAGCATCTCCGATGGAACCCATCACCCAGGGAAACAAGCTGCTGCGTGTATGGAGTTGGCAAATAGTGAAGAGAACCTCTCATATAGCTAAATGTCACTTGAAGCCCAGCGAGAACAAAGTTCATTCTTCATATTAGGCTTAGAAATATATTACTAGTGGTCTCCATTAAAGTGCAAAAGAGAAAACAGCTGGTCTTCTCAGTCCCAAGTTCAATATTTTTATTTGTTATACTCTGTGGCTTATGTCAAAATGTTTCAAATACTTTGGATATCTCTATGAAATCTTTCAATTGGGTTTTCTTCTTGCTTTATAGAGTATATATACATACTATAGTGTATATAGGATGATTATAAATCATATCAGCATTGTTCATAACAAATTTGTTACGTATAATATTTTTATGAACAGGACAGATGTGATTTATAGTTTTACCCAATGATTGAGTATTCTGAAGACAAAATAAAAAGAAAGTTACAATCATTTTATGACAATATTGAGCCTGTATTTAGGATATGAAAATATCATTTTAGGAAGCACCAGAATAATTCAAATATTTTTCCATCATGTCCCTGTTGGAAATGAAGCAAAAGCTTACTTTTGGTAAAACTTATGTACATTAAAAGCTAGAAATTTCTGCATTTATAAAAGCTTTCATATAGCACACAGAATTTTCATAAAAAATGGAAATAGGATTTTCTTTTAAAATTGATAATTTTACAAATAAATTATTACAAAGGGTTTTAAAACATAATTGACTTAAATAATGACATATCCAGAGAAGTGAACAAAAAATGTTTTTATTATTTGTATTACATTCATAACAAATGACATTGATAAGAGAGTAACAAAAATGAGGTGAAAATTGGAGGCATATTCACAGCAATTCTAAGTGCCTTGAAAAGTTGATCTGAATTGCTTGCTTCAAAGGGAAAATAGACTCTTTAATGATCACTTCTCTGACAACTAACAGTAACATCATTTTTAGCTATGACTGCTAAAATTAGATAACTTCCTCTTAGAAATATACATTCCCAGGCAGCAGCAAAGGATGACAGCCTTCACCTGATGATAAGAGGGAGAGTAATAATTCATCAGTAAATGAGCAATTTCTGTGATGAAGGAAAAAAATGTTACTTAACAAGGATTTGATGGCAGAATAACGAAAAATAGTGCCATGCTAATTATTTAGCAATACTAAGTGAAATGTTTGCTTTGATTTTAAATAGAGTGGTACAATTTTCAAGATACGTATTTATTATTAGGACTGTTCATACCAGGAAAAGGAAATTTTACTAGTGATTAAGGGCTTTAACAAAGTTATAAAATTATGCTTACTTGAATCAACTATACAATAGAATGTACTTGTTAGAAAGTGCAAACAAATGCCTTTTAAACTGCTGCCCTAAGGCTGTTAGCTGTTGATAACTAAACTGGCAGGCCGATGCCACCATCATTTCCCTAGCAGTGCAAAACTAGACTAGGGGACCTTGTCAGGCCATCCATCACAGCTTGTCACCTGAAGACATAAATAAAAATTCAGCATTTCCCCAGATTTATCAGAAGGCTGGTATATCTATTTACAGTCCCCATGGCAAAATTATGCCTTAAATTCAGGCTTTTAAAATGTATACATTAGTGCTATGCAGACATAGCGCCAACATTTATTTTGCAAACTTATAAAATGTACCAAGAAAATTAGGCACAAACTAAGAGAAATAGCTACAGAAAGAATATTAAGTTAACGGCCTTTAATTTTATAAATCTTAGTAATTTGACAGATCGATGCATTAATGGGAAAGAATTGCATCTATTATGGCTCTGTAGAATCACCAAAATATTTCAGGAAGGGAGGAAATATCCTTCCGGTTCTTTTGAAATATTTTGTTAAAACACACTCGAAGCAGAAGTATGGGTTAGAGAATTACTCTAGAACAGGAGCCTGCATTTTTTCTGTCTCTGCAGGGACAGATACTAAATATTTTAGGCTTTGAAGTCTGCACATGGGCTCTGCTACAGATTCTTTTTTGGTTTTATTTCATAACTCCTAAATATATAAAAACCATTCTTAATCCATCAATGATACAAAAGGAATTAGAATCCACTGGCCAGATTTGAATCATGGGACGTAATTAGCTGATTCCTACTAGAGAAAATAAATGTTTATATATTCAATAAAATGGCACAATTTTATAATTTAAATTACTGGGGTTTTGCAATGACTATTTTTAAAGAAACAATTCTATTAAAATATGTTGTATTTCATGATATGAGAAAAGTAATTATTATTAGACATAACTGCTGACATGCAAGTGCACTTTAAATTGTTAGCATTTCTGGCTATACTTAACACATTTTGAAGGAGAGAGTTTAACGCAGGTTGGATGGTATGCCAGGTGTATACTGTCACTTAAAACGGGACAGTGGGTAGTCTTGAGACAAATAGCATTAAAGTGAACTCAATGCCAAAAGCAGCTGTTTGAAATAGATCTGGCAGCACTTCAGAGGTGTGTATCTTGGTGTGAGACTACCAGTCATCTCTTTTAACTTGCCAATTTTACTGATAACATAAAAGCAACAAAATAAACTTTGAATTTTTAATTCTTTTTGAATCTCTGTGTGTGTGTGTTTCTTATAGCTTCCTGAAAGGTAAAGAATGATCAGTCATTAATATTTTAGTGAGTGACAAAAAGCATTGTTAAAGAAAAAAAAAATTTCATGAGTTCCACAGGTAACAAAAGATAGCACAATTATTGTCAGATACTGTGTAATTAAATATGTATTTATACTATTCCCTGAAATAAGCTAGATTATATGCTACTTATTAATGTATTTAAAATTACTGAAAATTTGTCAATTAATGAAAAGTTACCACCTTCAAACAAAGCACACTTGTTAATCTTCTGTTTCAAATGCCTGTTTGTTTTCAATTTGCTATTACTATTTTTTGAATCAAAGGAAATAAAGATATTTAAACAATTCTAAAGCTATTTTTTAAAATACTGAATATGACTACATTTTCTACCATTATAACATTTTTAAAAAGTTAAGTATTTAAATGTTATTGACATTTTGAGCCAAATTTGGACCAATTTTTATATGTTTATAAGTTTTTACGTTAATATCATAATTCATTAATAAATAGCTACTGTGCTCCAGGCAGTGAGTAGAAATGAGGAAGTGGAAAATAAATAAAGCTAAGTAAGCAATGCATTTTAGAGGAGACAACAGGCAAGATGCGGTATAGCTTTAACATTTGTTGGGCATAGATATATCCTGAATGCCTTAAGTAAATTGATGAATTGACACTTAAAACAACCCTCAAGTCATAAGCTGAGGCTCAGGAAATTTAAACAGTAAATTTGGTACCTAATATCAAACAAATAGCCAATAAAGCAATCAGGATCTGAAGATAGGTTTACTCTGAAGCCAAAGTCCTATTTTGTGTTTGTATTGGTTGGTTTGTTTTTCTCAAGGTATTCCATAGCCATTTTTTCCCGCAAAAGCAAAATAAATCATTAAAAGTCTTAAAGCAAGCACACTTATAATTGTCTAAGGCCTACTAAGATTATTTCTGGGTTGTATTCTTGTGACTAAACATATCTTCTTCACCAGGATATTTTATTATTTATAACTTTTGTCAGTTTCTCATCTATTTCCTCATTCCATAACTCTTGTTTTCATTTAACTTGTGTGCTCATTTTTATGATTCTCATTTGTATATAAATATCTACTGAAATTATTAACATCAGATCCTTTAGATTTTCTCATCTATTTTTTTCCCTTCGTGGTATATAACTCTCTGTTTCTAAATCTGCCATCTTCTGCATTCAGCCAGTTTTTCTTACTTCCTCCTAAACAGTTAAAACTTTTTTTCCAATGTAGATTTTTTAAAGTGCCGGTAAGTAAATGACAAAAAGTGGGAAGTTACTGAAAGGAAAAGATTACTTTATATCTTACAGAAAGCCTCAGTGTGCACCCAGCAAAGGGGGGTTCGGGAGGGGGGGTTCTGTGACCTCGGTCATCTTTCTTTGTGTCTGGATTTCTCTATGAGATAGTAGACTGCTGATCCCTACACTGCTGGCAGAGAGGGAGGCCAGGGCTTGCTGAGCATGGAAAAGACTTTGTGATCTGTCACACAGCAGGTGGCTCTCTCCACTTGACCCATGGGTTTCCAGATGAACAGTTCTACCTTATGTTTTCATTGTAGTTAAGAAGCAAGGGTGTATTCCTCATGCTTAAACCAAGAGTGTTATTTTTCTATACTGAGGCAGATAGTGGGTCTGGCAAAAGTTTATTCAGAAGTTTTTTTGTTAATATTACAGGCAACTAAAAGCATATCTAAAATCTGCTTATTAAACAGCTGCCAAAATGTTGCTAACCAGGCACAGTAGTACACACTTGTAGTCTCAGCTACTCAGGAAGCTGGGACAGGAGGATTGCTTGAGCCCAGGAGTTTGAGTCCAGCCTAGGCAACATAGCAAGACCCCCATCTCTGAAAAATAAATAAGTAAATAAATAAATGTTGCCTGAGGGAATTTTAAAGACAACAAACTATTTTATCAGTAACTTCTGTTAACATTTTTGATTATTTAAGAACAGAAACACTTATGACCAATAAACTTCTAACATTTTCTTAGACACAAAGAGTTTGAAGAATGCTTAAAACTCCTCATTCATGCAAGGCAATTGTTTAGGAGTGTTGTGATGCTTGTATTTAAGTAGAACAGCTTACACTGAATGAGGTTTTACAGCTATCACAGTGATTTCATTTATATGGCATCACAGTGGAAACTCCTGTAAAGGCTGGGTATGTAAAAATGTGTTGACTGTTTCAGAGTAGAGATCAGCCTAATGCCTCAATGCTAGCAAGCATTATACAGCTGGGGCCACAGCACACATCTGATCCTTGGGACAGCTTTTATTACACATGCTATCTCCCTTGTAGTAGATGGAGGAGAAAGTGGCATTGGGTTAATCACGGGCTTCTCTCAGGAGATTCACACAGAGTTCAGGTGCCCTTGAAGACTGCCTTATAGTCTCAAGGTTCCTGCAGCCCAAATCCCTGGAAGTTGGGGGATCATGATGACATTCAGTGCCACTCAGTAGTGTAGCTTTCACAAAGAAGCAGAGTGATTCTCCCGTTGTATCCGGGCTCTCAGGAGGCTGTGATTGAGTGTGGTTGGAAGGAGGCAGGTGGCACGTCAGCACCATGGGACAGAAAAACCCGTGAGCACCAACACTATCTTCGAGTTATTTCATTTTATTATTTATATTGCTGGCATTATTGTTTGCTGGACCATTAGGATATATTTTTCTATCTCACAGAAGTGTTAATATGATATAAAGTTATTTTTAACCTAAAGATCTATCAATATCTGCTGCTGCAAAAGTACTTATAATCTTCCTTTTTGGTCTCTTATGGATTCCATTCTTGTAGTACCAGCATATGCTTTAATATAACAAAATGCTCCTATAACCTGTCACACATTTTCTAGTTTTACTTTTAAGCAAGCTTTTATTCTTGATCCAGGAACAATGTTCAACATCTCCTCACTCTCACCCCCAATTAGATTAGAAATTCATCTGCAATATTCTTCTACTTATATTTCATCATCTCACTTTTTGGTTTATTATAAAAGTCTCCTTTCCTTACCCAGGCTAAAGCTCCTACATTCATATGTTTTTTTAAATAAAAAAGGAAAATGTTCTGACCCTTCTTTATGGTAGCACTTCTAACATTGCTGTGGCAAAACAGGTGCCCTGGTCCCTGAATACAAAATCCATATGAGGGAACTTCTCACTTGTTCTTCATGACTGATTCTTCTTAAAATCACCACGCGAAGTTTAGCAAGAGGTACAACAGAAAATAGAGTGGAACAGGTGTTATAACACCAACTAAATAACTACAGAAAACAGAGAGGAGGAAAGAAAGATGGAAGGAGAGAGGGAAAGAAGGAGAAAGATAAATTAATTCAAAGAAAAATTGGCCAAGACTTTACTGATGAGTGAACACACACACAGATATACACTCACAAAGAAGAAGGGAAGAGACCTACTGAGGGTGGTTAATGCTGCTAAGTAGGAAGAGAATCTTTTAAATGCAGCATAATCAATTTCAGCTCAGCAATATGCCCTCACTGGGCACATCTCTACTGCGAGGTGTTATTCCCAAAGGCTTTACTCTCATTATTCCTCCCTGTAAGGATAGCTTCAGAAAAAGGTTCAATTTTAATAGGCTCAGTAATTATCCCTGACTTCTTTTAAGAGTTTTTATGGGAATTATTCCCACTAAAATTTTACACTGTCCAACAGGATTTAAAGAGGTCAAACCACTTTCCTTGAGGGCCTATAAATGCCATAATTTTATGTATTTTCCCTACAGATTGCCTTACAAGTTGGGATACTACTTGAGGCAGATCTAAATTATTTTTGTTAAATCTTTTCATGCCTGTTGTGTGAAGTATACTAAACTCCTCTCTGATTCCAATTAACGAACTAGACTTCTTTCACAATACAGCATTATCCAACCATTAGTTTATTTATTGACTTATTTATTTATCCTTTCAAAAACGTTTATGAGCAATTTCTCAGTGCAAGGCATTATTCTAGGTTCTAGGTTATAGGGACATAGTGACAAACAAGACAAAAATCTCTGTCCTAATAGAACTAAAATTCTAGCAAAAAATTTTTATAGAAAAAAATTTTTATAAAAAAATGTATTATAGAGACAAACTATCTCTAAAATAAACCAGGATATGGGGTTAGAAACAGAGGGAGAGGTATACAATTTTATTTTTTATTTTATTTTATTATGCATTTATTTTTTAAATTATACTTTAAGTTCTAGGGTACATGTGCACAACGTGCAGGTTTGTTACATGTGTATACATGTGCCATGTTGGTGTGCTGCACCCATTAACTCGTCATTTACATTAGGTATATCTCCTAATGCTATCCCTTCCCCCTCCCCCCACCCCACAACAGGCCCCAGTGTGTGATGTTCCCCATCGTGTGTCCAAGTGTTCTCATTGTTCAATTCCCACCTATGAGTGAGAACATGTGGTGTTTGGTGTTCTGTCCTTGTGATAGTTTGCTCAGAATGATGGTTTCCAGCTTCATACATGTCCCTACAAAGGACATGAACTCATCCTTTTTTATGGCTGCATAGTATTCCATGGTGTATATGTGCCACATTTTCTTAATCCAGTCTATCACTGATGGACATTTGGGTTGGTTCCAAGTCTTTGCTATTGTGAATAGTGCCACAATAAACATACGTGTGCATGTGTCTTTTTAGCAGCACGATTTATAATCCTTTGGGTATATATCCAGTAATGGGATGGCTGGGTCAAATGGTATTTCTAGTTCTAGATCCTTGAGGAATCGCCACATGGTCTTCCACAATGGTCGAACTAGTTTACAGTCCCACCAACAGTGTAAAAGTGTTCCTATTTCTCCACATCCTCTCCAGCACCTGTTGTTTCCTGTTTTTTTAATGATCGCCATTCTAACTGGTGTGAGATGGTATCTCATTGTGGTTTTGATTTGCATTTCTCTGATGGCCAGTGATGATGAGCATTTTTTCATGTGTCTGTTGGCTGCACAAATGTCTTCTTTTGAGAAATGTCTTTTCATATCCTTTGCCCACTTGTTGATGGGGTTGTTTGATTTTTTCTTGTAAATTTGTTGAAGTTCTTTGTAGATTCTGGATATTAGCCCTTTGTCAGATAAGTAGATTGCAAAAATTTTCTCCCATTCTGTAGATCGCCTGTTCACTCTGATGGTAGTTTATTTTGCTGTGCAGAAGCTCTTTTTCTTTTCTTTTCTTTTTTTTTTTTTTTTGAGATGGAGTCTTGCTCTGTCGCCCAGGCTGGAGTGCAGTGGCTCAATCTCCGCTTACTATAAGCTCCGTCCCCTCCGAGTTTCATGCCATTCTCCTGCCTCAGCCTCCCGAGTAGCTGGGACTACAGGTGTCTGCCACCACACCAGGCTAACTTTTTTGTATTTTTGGTAGAGACGGGGTTTCTCTGTGTTAGCCAGGATGGTCCCGATCTCCTGACCTCATGATCCACCCGCCTCGGCCTCCCAAAGTGCTGGGATTACAGGCGTGAGTCACTGCACCCAGCCAGCAGAAGCTCTTTAGTTTAACTAGATCTCATTTGTCAATTTTGGTTTTTGTTGCCATTGCTTTTGGCGTTTTAGTCATGAAGTCCTTGCCCATGTCTATGTCCTGAACAGTATTGCCTAGGTTTTCTTCTAGGGTTTTTATGGTTTTAGGTCTACCATTTAAGTCTTTAATCCATCCTGAATTAATTTTTATGTAAGGTGTAAGGACAGAATCCAGTTTCAGCTTTCTACATATGGCTAGCCAGTTTTCCCAGCACCGTTTATTAAATAGGGAATCAGGGAGAGGAATACAATTTTAAACAAGGATGACCATTTTCTGGATAGGGGACTCTTGAGAAAGTGAGTAAATTAACATGGTTGTCAACAGAAGAGGAATATTCCAAGAAAAGAGAACAGGAAGTACAAAAATTACTCAGTGGGGGAAGGGTTTGGCATATTTGAGGACTAACTAAAACATTTGTGTGACTAGAGCTGGGTGAATGAAGGGGTGAATGGCAGAAGTTTAGTAAAGAAAGGTTTATTTAGGCATCATCCTTTTGAGCTTTGTGTATACTTAGGTTTTAGTCTAAGCATGGTGAAAATTACTGAAAAAACTGCGGCAAGTAGGGGTGACATAATATTTATGTTTGAAATTTAGAGAAACCTGTACGTTTAATATTTATGCTAACATTTTTATAGAATGGTGTACTGGCAGGCTCTGGGAAGCTGTGTTGGCACAGGCAATTGTGTAACATATTGAGATGTTACACTCAACTAGGTAAGAGAAAACAATGTTTTGAGTTGGGGAGATGGGGAAAGTGTGAGATGGTAAAAAGTAGCCTGACTGAGAAATTGCTAATGAATTTTATGTAGAGTATGAGGGAGAAAGGAGAGTCAATGATGTATGTTCCCCTGAGTGACAGAGTTGTTGGTGGCAATATTACTGGGAAGGTAAACATTGGGTGTTGGTTAAGATAGTTTGTGGAGAAGAATCATGTTTTTTGTATGTTTGTTTTGAATGTATTAATATTGAGATAATTATCAGTTAACCAAGTATATTTGTTAAATAGGGAGTTGCATATTATAATTAAGAATATAGTGACAGGCTAGGCACAGTAGCTCACGCCTGTAATCCCAGCACTTTAGGAGGCTGAGGCGGGTAGATCACCTTAGATCAGGAGTTCAAGACCAGCCTGACCAACACGGTGAAACCCCATCTCTACTAAAAATACAAAAATTAGATTATCCCAGCATGATGGCAGGCATCTGTAATCCCAGCTACTTGGGAGGCTGAGGCAGGAGAATCACTTGAACCCGGGAGGCGGAGTTTGCAGTGAGTCAAGATTGCATCACTGCACTCCAGGCTGGGTAACAGAGCGAGACTCTGTCTCAAAAAAAAAAAAAAAAAAAAAAAAGAATATTGTGACAATGTGACAATATGACAATGTCTGGGCTGAAGACTTCAAAGTCATCAATATAATAATGACTTGATAAACTACATAAGAGAAAAAGAGTGGGTATACACATAGAAGAATAGATGCCCTAGTAGTAGTGAGTTCTAAATAATTTCAACTTCAAATAATTAAGGAAAAAAGAGAAAGTAGTGGAAGAAATTGAGAAGGAACAACAAATAGGATACAGAGAAATTCAAAACATGTAGTGTTTCCATGGCCAAGTGCATTTGTCTTTAAAACAGTAGGGGTCTTCTGTTTCCTGGAGATGGCACACTTGATGTACAGATAAAATCCTCCCAGTACAGATTCTTATAAATGATAGATATAATATTTTAAACAAAGTTGTTTTCAGGACAAAACAGAGCAGCTGGTAATGTTACAAGAACAACCAAATGCTAGAAGTGACAAGAAAGCTGTATTCCACAAATACAAGCTAACACTGGAGCTAGTATTTACTTAAAAATACTCTCCATTCTCCGTTGGCCTGGAAGCTGGTCTTGAAAAGCCATCTACGTACAATGTAGAAAAGGCAAAGATGTAGACTGGTTCTGGTGTGAAAGGATCTGAGACTTCTACATAGTGAGGACCCAAATGGTTGAACTTAGGGGAAAAACGTCTGTCAAAAGGAGGATTTTCTGTCTTCATTTTGTTCTTAGTAAAAACAAGGAAACTAAAAGCTTCCTTTGAGAAATCCCAACTACACACCAGCATTCACTTGGCTAGTGTTTGAATTCTTACTTTTGTGACCTAAGAAATCTCAAGTTGAAAATGTACATTAAATTTTTTTGGAGTTGCTTATACTGTCAGGCTCCACACAAATGCCTGGATGAAATAACACATCCTTTCTAAAAATAAATAAACACATAATCATACTCACATTTATAAAAGAGACCTAAGTGATGTGATACAGAACAAATAAAATTTCAAGGAACATGAGACAACAATCAAAAATTGCTAAATGTATCTGGAAACAAGCCCTGACATCAAAGACTGCTGAGAAGTTAGCCAGAGCAATGTTGATGACCTTGAAATGGGTGGCTTCTTCCCAGATATAGACAGGAAACACTGACAGGAAAGATGTCAGGGTCAAGATAGAACAAAGACTGTAGTAGTTTCTTATTGCTGCTATAACAAATTACCACAAACTTAGAAGCTTCAAACAATACAAATTTATTACCTAACAGGCTTGAAGGTCAGAAGTCCAAAATGGATTCCACTGGACTAAAATCAAGGTATTAACAGGGCTGCATTCCTTCTGGAGGCTCTAAAAGTAAATCTGTTTGCCTGTCTCTTCCAGTTTCCAGAAGCTTCCCTCATTCTTCTTGTAACTCTTTACTCATCTTCAGAGCCAACAGTTACATCACTTTGATGTCTGTTTCCATAGTTACATCTCCTTCTCTGACCCTTCTTCCTCTATCTTCCATGTTTTAAGGACCTTTTTGATTACATTGTCTATTCAGATAATCAAGAAAAAATTCCTATCTTAATATCCTTAATCACATCTGTGAAATTCCTCTTTGTCAGGTAAAGTAACAGAGCCACAGATTCCAGGGATTAGGACATGAACATTTTCAGAAGGCCATTAATGTGTTTTCCACAGAGGGTGGAAAGCTGTAGTGAAGTAAAAATAGACCACAGATTAGAGAATATTCTATAAAGAGAAACAAGAGCAAAGTTAACGGATCAAAGGAATGTTTTGTTGTGCATTTTAAAGAAGCAGGGGCCATCTATTTTCTCTTTCGGTGTATTTTAATACACATTTTTAATGCATGATCTGTAGTCAGTTTTGTATACTTATTGGAATTATCTAGTGGGGAAGGGAAGATGATGACTCAGGTAAGAGATAGATATTTGCAGGAAAAAAATCCACAAATAGATTAAAGGAGATGAGATAAAGAATGCAGGAGGAAGAGACTGGCATGTATTGAATGAGGACCATTCATCAAGTATAAGTTTGATGGGGAAAGTTACAGCATAGTAGATTTGTGGTGGGAGGCTTCATCTCAAGTATGATCTGATTGGTTCTATTTTTCAGAGAAATAGAAAGAAGGTTATTAGTAAAATTTGCTATACTATTGGAGTTAGATTTAAATGGAAAGAGCTAATAGCACTGTTCAAGATAAAGTTGAAGAGTAAATACATTCTAAATTCCAGTGTGGAACACAAACAAATTTGGAGCCAACAGTCAGGGACTAGAACAGAATTATACTAAAGAATAGAGGGAATGGAAGCTAGTCAAGAAATTCTTTCAGGGCATATTGCCTGGATTAAAAGTACAGGACAGAAAAGCCCACAAGAAATAGGGACAAGACTTCAGCCATGAAACAAGGGAAATGGAAAAAGTAATTGGTCTTTTCAAGGCCAGAATCCTCAGCATCGTTTACCTCACCCTCTCTTAGATTATAGATCCCCAACTCCGATTGAATGTACCATCAGAAATATTTTGAGTCATTTTCTTAATTTCCTATCTCATTCCTATTGCAATATATTTGAACAAGTAATAATATGTAACTTTGGTATAAAAATCTCTAGAATTAGAATTCTGGCTTGGTTGTTTATGAATATTAATATTTTACTATTTAAAATACAAGTTATAGCAACGATGATGATGATTATACTCATTCTTATAACTAATAGTAATACTTGTGCATGATCCTGTCATTTTCATAGTAGTGATAATTAAGATCCTTTCTTTGATTGGAATAGAGCAATTACTTCACAACTGGTTTGCCAGAATCCTCTTTCTGTGCTGAACAATGAGGCCTGAATAATTTTTTAGCAACAAAAAAGAAATAATAAGAAAAATATTAAACCTTAAGATGTACTACAAACTTTCAATTACAGACATTTATCTAATTACATGTTATAATTCATTTAATCTCCTATGAAATATTAATAGTGTTAGGTTAGTACTAATATAATACTATCCCTATCCTGGTGAGGGTACTTAATATCCTGAGGCTTCAGGATATTAAATAACTCTCAGGGTATTGAATAATAATTAAATATCACACCTGATAAGTGGCACAATTATCATGTTAATTTAAATAATAAATTAGATAACACCTACAAATAAATGGTAAAATCATCATGTTACCAACTGTCTTCTCATGAAGTGCTTCAAGAAATAGTCACTTAGAAGAAAAACCAAGTTTGGGATATATGTGACCCTTATGCCCTGATCCCCAAATAGGCATAGGTCTTATACTTCACTTCTCTTATTGACCTCCATGATGAGAAAAACAAGTACAATGGACCTGTGTGAACTTTCTAATTCGTTTTCCATATAGAGAGTAAAGACATATAATTTTCTCTAACAGCATTGAAGTAATAGAGCAAATATATTTCCTATATTAAGAAATGTCTAGAAAATTGAGAAGTATCTTGATGAGTAGATTTCATTGCTTGATAACTTGTATCCCACGCAATCTGCTTTGATAAGAGGGAGAGGCATGGCATCAGACAGTTGCAAAGAACAGAGAAGTGAGGAATTTTTACAAAGTAATAGATTTCATGTAAAATTATGAAATTCAAGGGAAGTAAAAATGTTTACTGTGAATAATACTAGAATGCCTGATAAAATTACCTGCATCCGTGCTGTTATTACTTCAGTGGTGCAAACATGTGACAAAAAAAAATGTTATTTAGTTTTTTAGGATGTATTATTTAATAAGAGATTTCTCATATCCATTCACTATGATTGCAGTTAACAGGACTCCCAGTATTATCAAGGGATTAAAGGCTCATTTTTCCATGTCATCTTTATCTAAACTTCCAATTATTTTGAGAAAGTTATTAGCCACTTTGTTTTGGCAGAAGCATTTTTATTTAATAATACCTTTGCAAGCTTTAAGGTAAGATACATAAATTACTGAATGCCACTTTTCCAAATTATGAATGCTATTTATTCTTATTATCTTTTCATTAAACTTAATGTAATTATCATAGAATCTATGAGCCATGGTAATAAAATGCTAGGAGTAAAATCAGGTATTACTGATGTTGATATCTTAAGCAATGATTTAATGTTGTTTATATAAGATGGATAAAGATTGTGAACAAATATTATGGAGAGAAAGGAAATCATCTTGTATATGGCTAATTGAACTTTAATTCACTAATTTATTTTCAAGAAAGTATGCAATGTATTTATTTATTTTCTGATTTATAAAGCGCACTAATTAAAGATAATGCATGTGGAAATTTTAAAAATTAGATTCTGTATATTGATTAATCTATATTTTTACCCTTAAAAATTCACATAAACTACAATATTTGAATCAGTAGCCCAATCCTTCAAACAAATGTTTTATATCTCTGTTTCTTCTCTTCTTATTCACTCCAGCACCAAATGTAATCCTGCCTTCCACCCCTGCTACTCAAGAAGAGGAAAGGCTCAATTGTGTTGCCAACTATCTTCATAGCATTAAATTTAATGAACACCTTTAGTTCCTTATGTTTGACTTTATCATATAATTAGATACTGTTGAGGTTCTTCTCAAAACACTATCTTCTTTTGGCTTCTTAATCTTAACAGCCTCCCAGTTTTCCTTCTGTTTTTCTGGAAATCTCCTCTTTTCATTGAATGATTATCCTGTTCTAAGCAGACATTATATGTTGCAGTTTTCCTATGGTTGATTCTCGGCGCTATTTTCTTTTCTTACTTTTTCTAAGATGATCTCTTCCATGCTGTAATGATCATCTTACAAAAAGATGCAGCATAAATTCAGGACTTAAGCCTAGACCTTTTCCAAGCTCTACTGCTGTGCACTTAACTGCTCACGGGACACCTTTCCTTGGCCTCAAAGATACCTCAAAGGCCGTATGTGACAAGTCTACGGCTAACATTGTATTCAATGGCAAAAAAGTGAAAAATTTTAATCTAAGGTTAGGAACAAGATAAAAATGCCCACCCTTGCCTCTTCTATTCAACATAGTACTGGATATCCTAACTGGAGGAATTAGGCAAGAAAAAGAAATAAAAGTCATCCAACAGGAAAGAAAAAAGTTAAATCGCTTGTTGACACATGATATGATTTTATATATAGCATACCCTAAAAAACTCCACCAAAACACTGGTAGAACTAATAAACTCATTTGTTAAAAGTGCAGGATACAAAATCAAATATGAAAATCAGTAGCTTTCCTATATATTAACAGCAAAATATCTGAAAAAAACACTGAAAATCTCATTTACAAGAGCAGAAAAATACTTAGGAATGAGTATAACCAGAGATATGAAAGATCTGTGAACTGAAAATTATAATACTGATGAAAGAAATTGGAAGCATCTTAAACAAATAAAATGATATCTAGTGTTCCTGATTGAAAAAATCAATATTGTTAGATTGTCTGTGCTACCCAATGTGATCTACAGATTCAATGCATGTCTGTCAAAATTCCAATGACATTTTTCACAAAAGTAGAAAAAATATATTAAAATTTACATTGAACCCCAAAAATGCTGAATAGCCAAAGAAATCTTAAGAAAAACAAACAAAGCTAGAAGAATCAGAATCATATTACCGTACCTAAAAGTCTATTACAAAGCTACAGTTGTCAAAACAGTATGACACTGGTACAAAACAGACATATAGATCAATGGAATAGAATAGAGAGCCTAGAAATAATCCCAATCATACAAAGTCAACTAATTTTCAACAAAGTCACCAAGAAGACACTGTTTTGGGAAAGGATACTCTATTCAATAAATGACACTGGAAAAACTCGATATCCACATGCAAAAGGATAAAATTGAATTTTTTTCTACATCATACCAAAAAATATACTCAAAATGGATTACAGACCTAAATGTAAGACCTGAAAATATAAAACTCCTGGAAGAAAATACAAGGGAAAATTCACTGACACTGATTTGGCAATGATTTCTTGGGTAGAACACTAAAAGCCCAGGCAAAAAAAGCAAAAATAAACAAGTGAGACTATATCAAACTAAAGCTTCTGCACAGCAAAGGAAACAATCAACAAAATGGAAAGGCAGCCTACAGATTGAGAGAAAATGTCAGTGAGCCATAAGACTGAGAAGGGGATAACATCCAAAATATATAAAAAACTTACACAACTCAGTGGCAAAAACAAAAACTAAAAAACAAAATCCCATATGACTAGGTTATAAAATGGGCAAAGAACCCGAACAGACATTTCTCAAAAATGACATAAAAATGCCCAACAGGTATATAAAGAGGTGTGTTCAATATCAGTTATCAGATAAATACAAATTAAAACCATATGAGATATCATCTCACACCTTCTAGGATGGCTTTTATTAAAAAAAAAGAAGGAATCATTTTCGGTAAGAGTATGAAGAAAAAGAACCCCTTGTATACTGATCGTGGGAATTTAGATTTGTGCAGTCACTGTGGAAAAGAGTCTGGGCGTTCCCAAATAAATTAAAAGTAGAACTACCAGATGATCCAGCAATCTTCCTTCTGGATATATACTTAAAGGAAATGAAATCACCACCTTGCAAAGATGTCTGCACTCCCACATTCATTGCAGCATTTTTAATGATAGTCCAGATAGGAAAACTACAGAGCCGTTCATTAACAGATGAATGGATAAAATATGGTTATATATATATACACACACACATACACAGACACATGCACTAGAATACTATTGAACCTTAAAAAAAGGAGACCATGGCATTCACAACAAAATGAATGAAACTAAAGGGCATTATGCTAAAGGTGAGATGCCAGACACATTAAGAAAGATACTGCATGATTTTATTTACATGTGGAATCTGAAAAAAAATAGTAAAATTGAACATATAGAAACACAGTAAAATGGTGGTTGCAGGGAGGGGAAGGGGAATGGAAAGACATAGGTCAAAGGGTTTAAAGATGCAGTTACGTAGGCTAAATAAATTTAGAGGCCTGATTGGCAACATGAGGACTAGAATTAATAACACTGTATTGTATACTGGTAATTCGCCAAGAGAGATTTTAGTTACTCTCACTAAAGAAAAAAAGAAAGAGAGAGCAAGAGAAAGAGAGGAAGGAAGGAAGGAAGGAAGGAAGGAAGGAAGGAAGGAAGGAAGGAAGGAAGGGAAACTATTAAGCTTTTTTATTTTTCATCTTTGGGTGAATAAAAATAGAATTTTTGCTTCCCACTTAACCCAATTTTTAAACTATTCCCTAATTAGCTAAGTGCTTTGTTGTTCAACACACAATAAAATGATTGGAATATAGGTCTTAGACATAAAAAACTCAGAATATTGGCCAAACCATTAAAAAATCAAATCTACCTTTTCGGGGAAATGTTTTCCTAAATAAGAAGACAGTTATAGTATCTGTACCAGCATATTTAAAAGCAGATAAATATTTTCTTTAAACCCAGAATCATGTCCTACAATGTCTTTCACAATTGCCATATTAACTATTGTTTGGGATAATTAGTTGACACATACACAATTCTGAGCAGTGCAATCACAGATGAACAGCTTCAGCAGTATTACAAAGACTTTGAAACATCCATGGAAAAATAATAAAAGACTTGAAACTGGAATAGATTCAACAGGCTCTTTGCAGTTAACCTTTAAAAATGACATTTGAAGCTATTGAAAAGAACCAGTACGGTAGTTTAAGAAAAATGTGTCATTATGAAACGTTATTCTAAAAAATAGTCATGATTGAACTAGTTTTTCTATCTAGAATACGTACACATTCATATCTTGCAGAAGATTGAAGAGTATTACTTTTCTGAAAGTGAAAAGTACAAAATAATTTCTCGTTCATTTTAATGAAAAATATAAATGATACAGCAACAGTCACCTCTTTTATTACTATTTCTCTATATGAATTTTATTTCATAATTTTTCCTGCGTGCTATATTTGCTTATATGAGGTGCCAAAAGTTTACATAATCAAGAATGCTAAAAGGTAACAACATCAGATTGACCTGCTATTTTAATTGGTTTTGATGAATTAGAACTGTTTTTCCTGTTATTTTGAAATTATCTAATTTTTTAAGAAACAAGAACTTACAAAATAACAGAAGATAATTTTGTACCAAAAAAATAAAAATAGAGTTTATATGCAAGGTATAGGAATGACAGGTATTTTTGACAAAAATATTTGTTTAAAACTTTATAAATTCTCAGTCATCTTTGCCTTGGAAATAATTTGCCTTGCAGTACTGAAGAGATCTAAGAGAAAACCAGAATCTAAAGAATAAGAACAGAAAAACTATATATATGTATATATATTCAATAATATGTATATTCAAGAATACATATATATTCTTGAAACCTCTTTGCTAAATATTTTGTATTAAAGAAAACATGTAATATTCTTTTACGTACTTGTATAATCTCCTATTATCTACATGAAAAACAAGAAACTTTGAGAGGGTGATTATCTATGCCATAGCCTTGCTGTCATTGTTTGATTCTGCCTACATTCTCCTGTACCCGCAGGTATAGCCTTAGCATTGAAACACTGATGCTGTATGAAAAGTGAAAGAACACAGAAAGGTTTCCTAGCAACTCCTGGGAGTCTTCTAAACTAAGTCAGTTAAAACCATATAGTACGTGCAATAGGTGTAAAGTAGAGTGCAAAGCTCAATTGTAATAGGAGCCAAATTGCTCAAGAAAGAAATCTCATCAGAACCTTGGTGGTTTAACCATTATTTAAATAATCCTGCTGGAATTCCACTGAAAATGTAGAAGTCCAAGTACCAGAACCAAAGTGGCAGAGTGCAACATGAGAGTTAATAAACGAGTGTGGGCTTTGAGAAGTGTTTTATGTTGGCCCACTCCTACACACACACAGACACAGACACAGACACACACACACACACACGCACACACACACACACTTATTGTCCTCACTGGAAAAAGTGAAAAATTACTAGTGGGATACATTCTTATTGATATTTGATTAATAAGTTTCCTTTTTTCACAATATACAAATTCCTTTATGAACACAAAATACGGTTAAAAGATATTTTCATTGAAATATTAAATTATTAAATATTAAATCACTGGGGGAACTCCTCATTCCCTTAAGCTCCTTATAGTACAATAATGAGTAACATTTGTATGGCACGTAGCATTTGATAAAGTACTTTGCTTCTGCTTTCATTTTATATTTACAAAAACTCTCTGAGGTAGTGATTATCAACCCCATTTAACAGATGTGAGAACTGATTTTAAGGGAAAGGTTAAATGGTTCATTAAATGCTACTTTGCAAATAAGTGGTTGAACCAAAATTCCAGATAAAAGGTTGTAACTGCAAAGAATTTTCCTCTTGTCTTCGCATCAATGTCTCACCAATTGTGACAGAAACATTTTAAATGAGTCTTTTAAAAAGATGTACTTGTCTTTTTGACTTATGATCCATGAATGATTAAAAGTTGAAAGAGGAATAATTCCTATTAAGTGAAGACTGCCTTAATAAAACTTTGAAAAATTTTGTTCTCAAGACGCTAAAGATTCTTAGCAGTAATTATAAGTAAATATCATTTTGTGTTTTTCTTATTCTATTCTCACCTACTTAAAAAGAGAGAGAGAGAAATTTTAAGGACTCACAAAAAGCAATAAGCCAGGGCAGAAATAGCAGCAAACATTTAGATTAAGGATAGTTGGTTCAATCTAGTAGAGTGATAGCTTAATTCTTCTAGCAACTAGGAAAAAAATCCATTTCATGATGGGTGTGTTGGCACATGCCTATAATCCCAGCTTCTCAGGAGGCTGATGCAAAAGGTCCACTTGAGCCCAAGAGCTCTAGACGGACCTGGGCAACATAGTTAGACCCTGTCTCTATAAAACAAGAAAACAAAAATCCATTTCACAAACATCTAACTACTAGGTTCTATTGCAAACAATGCTTTTACTTTCTAATACAGAAAGCATATTACTAATCAGAAGAATTCCACACTTTATGTGAAATCGGAACTTTTTTTAGCTTCACTAAAATTTTCCTCCTTGATAAATAGCAGGAAATAATTCAACTCCTCTAATTTGTCTTTGGAAGTTGAAAAGGGAAATTTGGAAATTCTTCTATAAGCAACCAAATTCTATTCAAAGATATTATAATTAGTATGACTGCTAACAAAGGGTATTATATTGGAGGAAAATAGTTAATTCTTATCAATAACTATTATATTTATTAAATACTTATCCAGATTTCTAAATGTTTACTTGTGTAAAAAGTTATTTGCCTGCAGAAATGAGAATTAAAAATGCCCACAATAGAATCAAAATGAAATAAACATTTAAAATAGTTAATTCTTCCATTTTTATGAATGTCTTGCACCTTACTGTCAAGAATGTTAATGCTGATTAAAGGTGTGTGAGAGAAGATACGAGGCCAAAGTGATGAGGAGTAGCAGTGAGTAGAGTAATTCATGACTAGATCATTCTTGCTTTTAATTTTGGTTTGAACAATAAATGTTACAGTGAAGATGACAAAATTTCCCATTGGATTGATTGATAGATTAGTTTTTTAATTTATCATTTACTTATCTATTCATTTATTTTAAAATCAGGAAAAACTTAAGTTTTATAGGTCATATTTACTCTGAAGTATGTCAAATAAAGAGCAAATCAGGATTTAGATAAGAAGAGACTTTAGGTGAATAGATTATTGTAACACAATATCACAACAGGAAGAATATACCAATTACCCATGATATAAGCAAGTGTATCAAAAGTTAGGTACAAAAGTGCTTTTCTTTTATAAAGAGAATAAAAAAATTCAGAAAAAACATGTTGTGGGAAAGAGATGAAAAGGATCACAGTTTGAAGGTGTCAGTGATAGAGTAGTGTATCAGAGAAGGAGGCTAGCTAATTCTTGGAGGGTCTGTTAAGGAGGGGTTTGTATACAGCCTCAAGCTTGTGGTCAAAGTTCAGGGGCCTGTGGGAAGCAGAGAAACTTAATTAAAGTTTGATTCAGAAGCATTCTGTTCCCATTGATTAGTCGGGAAAAAAACAGCTGAGTTAATCACTTATTAGGTATTTAAAGGGTCTGTGCCTGGTCTTTTCGTAAGTAAACAAGGGAGCATTCTTGAATCCTTATCTAAGTCACAGGGGGAAAGCTGTTTCTTTGCAATAAGTAGCTTCCTGGAACACAGAAAGATGAGACAGTTTCTTTAACTATCACTCCTTTATGGGATCACAGGGATAAAATTAAACATTGCCAAGTGCTTTTTCTGAATTAGCTAATATTTGATTTTTTTTTTTTTTTACCATCACGCTCATTTGTCCTCTGTAATTTAAATATTATGAATACTCGGCTTTGAAAAGCTCTGTTTTATTTTCTTAAGGCTTTAAAGAAGTACTTTCCTAGGTACTCTGTCCTTGACTCTTGGCTTACAGGAGCTTTTATATCATTTTTGAAGAGGGCAGGGAAGCAAATGAGGCTTTGAAAATGCTCCAGTGCAGTTCAGTAACTGTTTTCAGGCTCACTTGTGATCTTATGGATGTTGCATGTGCATCGTCCTAAATATTCACTAAATGTGGCACATTCACAATGTTTAAATCCATAATAACTCATTAAGGGTATTATTTGCTTCTGAACAATAAAGCATTCCTTGTTAATGCCTGTGACTTATTGATTGTTGGTAATGTGAAGAAACAAAAGTTTGCTAAAAGCAAAACACCTGCTTTCTGGTAAAAAAAAAAATACAAGTAAACATTATAAAATCTACATTTTATGACAATTTCCTACTTTTCTTTAATAACTTATGTGTAAGATTGGTAATCTATAACCTTGTATGAAGTGAAATTAAGCACACTATATATATTATGTACCTTATTTAAACTTTGCAAAGATTGAATTCAGTTTATTTCCTCTTATGTCTGTCCTTGTAAATGATAGATTAGGCATCAATTTGATGGGTAGAATGGCAAATGTGCTTGATAAGATATGCTAAATAAAATAAAATACCATGTAAACTGTGGAATTTTAAAAATTAAGATAAGGATAATGTTTTGGTATGGAAAACCCTTTCCTTAGGAGTTTCTACACCTTTACATTTATTTATTAGCACCTCTGATTTCAGCTCCTTTTCCTTTCTCAGATGAGTTAAAAGTAATTTGCCCCATTTACATTCTTTGCATTCGCTCACCACCTACAGAAGACTAAAACGTCTCTTGTTTGTAATTTTTTTCTGCCCACTAAGTAGACCAAAGAGACATAGAGGACCCAAATTAAAAACAGTCATATATCGTAAGTCTAATCTATTCATTTCTTTCTAGGGCAAAAGCCTAAATCATAACATACTTCGTGAGGACTAGTGTATGTAAATAACTTAGCAGAGCTTTGCACACATAGTAAGAGATCAATAAATGATAGATGTTATTCATATCACCACAAACCCTCGAAATAATATTATCTGAATTTTACGTAGGGAGAAACTGAAGCATATATGTCTGAGGTTCCACTTGTAGTAAATGACAAAAACAAGATCTGCATCTGTGCCTGTCTGTTCTCACAGACTTAACATCATAACTACTATAAAATACTGTGAAAAACATTTGACCAGATGGTTCTTCCAAGCCAGAGGGATAAGCGGCCAAAATATGCCTGCTTCAGGTAAACATCTGTTTAGTTGAGTTTATGTCATTGTTTAGTAATGATGCATATAATTCACATAGTGTGAATTTAATTGGCCAAAATAAGTTCTTTGTTTAAAAACATTCCAATTAAGGAAGCCTATGTAGAATAAAAGTACTGGCACCTATGAATAATATATTAATTTCATTCGTTTTCCATTGCTTTTCCAACCTGAGAGTATGTTACAAAAAAGGAATCACAACAAGTAAACGATAGAAAAAACTATCTTTATGAGAGCTATCTTCGTTGTTCCATAAAAGATTGAAAACATTAAATATCTTCTATAATTCAAAATCAAACAGTGCCTCCAAAAAAATCCTGGACTTTCATTGTTTTCTAAACTGTCTCAATTTATTTTCCTGAATTTTCTTTCAAGCACTGTCAAAAACCACATTTCACACTAGCTAATGAGGTCTTCACAAGTTGCACCATGTAAACAGACACCAGTCATGCTCACCCATCATTGTACCTTTCTGCAATGTTTTTTTCAGATTAACCCCTGTACTCTTTTGTAGATATTTTGAAAAGTTGATATTATTATCCCCACCCTATGACCCAAGGTATTAAAAAATGTTATAAATTGTGATGGTCATAAGAGTATTTGCTTAATGGTAATATGTAAACTACATTTGTCTTCATATTTTTCTATTTGTGTTGCATTTATCAATAAAATGTTATTTTCAACTATCAAAAAAGATATCATAAATAATGATGTCAATGAATTTAAAATTTCAGATGAAATGAATAATCTCCTTGAAAATACAGTTTACTGAAATTGATCCAGAAATAAAACACTATTTTCAAAAACAGAATCTTTAAAAAATTTCTCAGTGAAATCAAACAAAAACAAACAAATACTTCACGATGAGGTTTATTCACCATTCAACTTAAAGAAATCATACCAATTTTCACAAACCTTGCCAGATAATTAAAAAGGAGGAAACATTTTTTCATTTATTTTATCAAGCTAGAACAGCCTTGATACTAAGCTGTTAAACAAAATGCAAATTGATCTTATTCATATACATATTTAAAATATCCTTTAACAGAATATTAGCAGAACAAATACAACTGTATATAGAAAGAATAATAAAGAGAAAAATATATTACAACTAATTCAAGTTACTCCAGGAATATGAAGTTGATTTAACATTTAAATTAAATCAACGTAATTAAACATATGAATGTAATACAGATACAAAATATTTGATTAATTAAAAAGGAGCAAATATTTTAATGAAATTTTAAACAAAAATTTTTGATAACTAGCTTGAACAAACCAAAAATAATGAAGACTGTATAAAATCTGATAAGGGTAACTACATATAAATTATAGAAAATATTACACTTAATGATAAAAAGTTACAAGAGTCACACTCAATATCAACAATAAAAGATCTCCTATCACAGCTTATTTTCTTGACCTGTGCTGGAGTTCCTAGACAATACAATAAAAAAAGATTTAAGGTTGTGTTAGAATTGTAAAGAAAGAAACTATTGTTATTTGCAGATATATAATTATATACAAAAAATACAAAACAATTTTCAAATAAATCATTTATTTACCAAGCCAATTTAGCAGGCATTGCATACAAGACAGTAATCAAATGTTGTATTTTATATGTAATATGAGCAGTATCAAAATACAAAATATACAGGGAGCCACAAAAATAGATCTTATGACTCTATTAATAAGTTATTTTTTAAAAAAATACATTTTTATGAACTGAAAAATTTAATACTGCTAACATGCCAAATCTCTCTAAATTGATCTATAATTTTAATTTGATGCAGCTGATTTAAAAATTTATATGGACATGCTACTCGGGAGGCTGAGGCAGGAGAATGGCGTGAACCCAGGAGGCGGAGCTTGCAGTGAGCCGAGATCGCGCCACTGCACTCCAGCCTGGGTGACAGAGCGAGACTCCGTCTTAAAAAAAAAAAAAAAAAAATTATGTGGACACTCAAATGAGCAAAATTAACCAAGACATTCTTGAAGAATAACAAGGTTGAGGAAATTGTTCCAGTTATCAAAACTTACTATAATGCTATAGTAATCAAGACATGGTGGTTTTAATGCAAAGGTAGTCAAATAGCAGAGCGGAATAGACTAAAGAGGCAGAAACCCACACATCTACTGGAAATTTGTATAGTTAATTTATGACAAGTGGCACTACAAGAGTGGGTAAAGGACAGTGTTTTCAGTCAACTGTGCTGAGTTGACTGTTCTATTCAATATCTACAGTTAAAAATATGAAACTTGACCTATACCTCATACCCTAAACAAAAATCAATCCCATGTGGATCGTAGATATCAATGGCAAATGGCAAAGATAAACTGTCAAATATTAAAGGCAAAATAATAAAGATGATATTATAAGAGAAAATCTTCATGTCCTTAAAGTGTTCTTAAATAGGATAAAAATAAACCGACATTTAAATTACAACGTTAAAATTAAGAAATTCTGAGCATCAAATTATGGGTTAAGAGTACTGAAAGGCCAGCCACAAAGTGAAATATATTGGCAACATAAATGAACAACAAGGGATCATTTTCTTCTGGGTTTAAATATATTCAAAATAAATAATAAGACTGGGTGCAGTGGCTCACGCCTGTAATCCTAATACTTTGGGAGGCTGAGGCAGGAGGATGACTTGAACTCAAGAGTTCAAGACCAGCCTGGGCAACATAGTGAAACCCCATCTCTACAAAAAATTCAATAAATTAGCCAGGTGTGGAGGCTCAGACCTGTAGTACTAGCTACTCGGGAGGCTGAGGTCCAGGGATCCCTTGAACTTGGGAAGTCAAGGCTGCAGCAAGCGCTGATTGTGCCACTGCACTCTAGCCTGAGCAACAGAGTGAGATTCTGTCTGAGATAAGTAAATAATAAACAATAAATTTTTGCAAATTCAAAAAGCAGTCAGATAAACCAATAGAAAATTAGATTCACTGGGCACTTCATGAAGCATGTTGACTAAAGGACCAATAAACATGCAAAATGATCTCAAGCTTACTACTAACATGGGAAATAAAAATAAAAATTTAAATACGGACACTATTTCCATGACCAGCAAAATGAATAAAGTGAAAAGACTGATAACAACCTGATGTTGGTAAGCATGTGAAGCAAGGAAAATTATCAATGTAATACTGTCACTGTCTATACTATTGCAAATACTGCTAAAAACCAGAATTGTGTATTAACTTTGATATGTGTAACCTATAATCAAATCATTCTACTCTTAGTCACATACCCAACAGACAAACATACACATATGTACCAAGGGTCACACACAGGTATGTTCATAATCCCATTTTACATAATAGCTAAACTCTAGAAATGCCTAAATTTCAGAATTGTCAAACAGATCAATAAGTTGTACATACTATGCAGTGATAAAATTGAAAAGTAAATTACATAGGGCAATTCTTTAAATAATGTTCTACAACAAGGTTGACACATAAGGATATCTAGTATTTTATTTGATTCTATCTAAATAAACTTTTAAAATACAGAATATAACTTAAAGTATTAGAAGCATAATGGTATCGACATGTGTTGCAGAGGTAGAGAAGCATATTTAGGAGAGGCACAGGGAGGGATCTGACATGCAAAGTTTTATCCTTGACATGGTGGTGGTCCATGTTGGTTCATTTTGTCACAATTCAGCCAGCTATATATTTATGCTGTCTGCTCTTTTACTCTATGAATTATGCTTCATAATAGTTTTTAAAATCATGTGCCATGTAAATATCAAAAGTTGCTAAAAAATTAAAAGGCAGTTAAATAGATCCTGCCTACTATGTGTTATGATTATTTTGTTCTTGTGCCACAGATGAGAATGCAGAATCTGGTGAAGAGAGGTAACAGGAAACGCCATTATGCTTGCTGTATTTTTCACTTGTTTGTCTGGTTGGTAAGTTTTTTTGGTTTCTACTTTTGTTAAGGGAGGATAATAATCCTTGACTTTTCTAGTTCTGCCTAGATTTATTCAGCTCTTGGATTCTAGCATTAGGCTACCTGAATTGGAATGCTGGAATTGCCTCCAACTAATTTTGTGACCTACTTCAAGAAACTTATAATCTCTATGGACTTTATTTTACTATAAGAAATGTAAATAATAATGGTTGCTGTTGGTTGTGGAGATCAAATGTTGTATACATGCACATTTTGCATAACTCTTGGTTCATAGGAAGTTTTTTAAAAATCTGTTTTTATTATATGTTACGTTTTCTACTATTTAAATTTCAGGCACTTCAGTGGACTTCAATTCATCAACTCTTCTACAAGAGCACGCTTACTTTCTGACACTGACCTCAATCTTCTTTTCCTTTGTTAGAGAATAATTAAAGCCTCATATGTAGAAGCAGGGCTGTAAAGTCACACTGCTAAGAGTACCAATCTTGTGACTGCAGCTGAAAGTCCTATGACTCTGTGGAAATAATTAACTTGCACTCTCTTAATTTTGCCTTGTCAAACTTTTCATTCACTAAGGTTTTAAAATATTAACTAATCTGTTTATTTGGAACATGCAAAATATCATGGAACAAAACAAAATATCAGAATCAAAAAGACAATATGGAATATTACCTTATGGAAGAAAGTAATTAGTAATATGAATTTGTTTTTACTCATTCAATAATATTCAAATTTCTTCATTTGAAGTAAGAAAAAAAATAGCCAAACTGAAGTAATTCAGGTTATTTAAATTTGTTTTAGCCTCTTTTAGTTTGCTAGGCCTGCTGTTACAAAGTACTACAATATGGGTGGTTTAAACAACAGAAATTTATTATCTCACAGTTTTCAAGGCCGAGAAGTCCATTATAAAGGTCTTGTTAGGGTTGGTTTCTTCTGAAAACTATGAGAGAGACTCTGATACATGCTTTTTCCCTGGTGTCTTAGTCCATCGTTTCTGCTAAAATCTGTGAGACATAAACAATAGAAATTTATTTATCACAGTTATTAAATAAATTTCTTAAGTAAAGAAATATATTTCTTTCCCAATTCTCACAGAACCAGGAAGTTCCAGATCAAGGCTCCAGAATATTCAGTGTCTGGTGAGGGTCTGGTCTCTGCTTCCAAGTTGGCACCCTTAGAATTATTTTTTTGTTTCAACTTTTATTTTTAGAAACAGGGAGTATGTGTACAGGTTTATTAAAGGGGATATTGCATGATGCTGTGTTTTGGGGTACGATTAATCTTATTACCCAAGTAGTGAGCCTAGTGCCCAATAGTTTGTTTTTCAGCCCTTGCTCCCTCTCTCTCTACTCTAGTAGTCCCCAGTTTCTATTGTTCCCATCTTTATGTCCATGTGTACAGAACGTTTAGTTCCCACTTATACACAAGAAGATGCAATATTTGGTTCTCTGTTTCTGTGTTAATTCACTCAGGAGAACAGCCTCCAGCTTCATCCATGTTGCTGCTAAGGACATAATTTTATTCATTTTATGGCTATGTACTATTCCATAGTATATATGTACCACATTTTCTTTTTCCAACACACCATTGATGGGCACCTAGGGTCATTTCTTGTCTTTGCTCTTGTGAGTAGTGATGCAATGAACATACAAATGTATGTGTCTTTTTGGTAGAATGATTTATTTTCCTTTGGGTATATACCCAGTAATGGGATTACTGGATAGAAAGATACTTCTATTTTTAGTTGTTTGAGCAATCTCTAAACTCTTTCCACAGTGGCTAAACTAATTTACATTCTAACCAATAGTATTTAAATGATCTTTTCTCCACAGCCTTGCCAGCATATGTGGTTTTTTGACCTTTCGATAATAGCTGTTCTCAGTGGTGTGAAATGGTATCTCATCGTAGTTTTAATTTGCACGTATTTAATGATTAGTGATGTGAAGCATTCCTTCCTATGTTTGTTGACAATTTGTACGTCTTCTTTTGAGAAGTGTCTTTTCATGTCTTTACCTGCTTTTTAATGGGGTCGCTTGTTTTTTGCTTGTTAAATTATTTGAGTTCTCTATAGATTCTGGATATTAAATGTTTGTCAAATGCATAGTTGCAAATACTTTATCCCATTCTGTAGGTTGTCTGTTTACTGTGTTAATAGTTTATTTTACCGTATAAAAGTCCTTTCATTTAATTTGATCCCACTTGTCAATTGTTTTTGTTGCAGTTCCTTTTGAGGACTTATTCATAAATTCTTTCCCAAACTCAACGTCCAGAATAGTGTTTCCTAGGTTTTATTTTAGGATTCTTATGGTTTAAGGCCTTATATTTAAATTATTGATTCATCTTGTGTTAATTTCTGTGTAAGGTGAAAGGTACGGGTCCAGTTTCATTCTGTAACGGCTAGCCAGCTATTTCAGCATCATTTATTGAATAGGGAGTTCTTTCCCCATTGCTTATTTTTGTCAACTTTGTTGAAGGTCAGATGGCTACAGGTGTGTGGCATTATTTCTGGGCTCTCTATTCCATCCTGTTGGTCTAGAGGTCTGTTTTTCTACTGGTACCATACTGTTTTGGTTACTGTAGTCTTACAGTATACTTCGAAGTCAGATGATGTGAGGCCACCAATTTTGTTCTTTTTTTTAGGATTACTTTGGCTATTTGGGCTCTTTTTTGGTTTCATATGAAATTTAGAATAGATTTTCTAATTCTATGAGAAAGTGCTAGCCAGAACAATCAGGCAAGAGAAAGAAATAAAAGTCATCCAAATAGAGACAGAAGAAATAAAATTATCCCTCTTCACTGACAGTATGATTCTCTTCCTAGAACACCCTAAAAACTCCAACAAAAGGCCCCTAGCAACTTCTAGGGAAAACATATGGTGTATCATCACATGACAGAAGGGACAGACAAGTAAAAGGGTCTAGCTAGTTTCCTCCAGTCCTTTTATAAGGTTGAGGAGCCCTCATAACTTAACCACCTACTGAAGTTCCTACCCTTAAAAACTATGACACTGGCAATTAAGTTTCAGCATATGAATTTCGGGGGACACATTCAAACCATTGCGCCCATCTTCTGGTGATTTTCTGGCAATCTTTGGTGATCCTTGGCTTTTATGAATATTAATTTTTGTTTTTATCTTCACATGGTATTTTTCCCCTGTTTGTGTGTCTCTGTGATCAAATCTCCCTTTTTTTCTTTTTTATAAGGATACCAGTCATATCAGGTTAGGGCCCACCCTAATGATCTCACTTTAGTTAATTCTTTAGTTAATTACATCTGCAATGACCCTATTTCCAAATAAGATCAGATTGTGAAGTACCAGAAATTAGCATTTCAACATATGAATTGCGGGTAGGGGTAGACACACAATTTAATCTATAATGTAGCCCTCTTTCTTTTTTTTCCTTTTACAACCACTCATTGTTTTACACTGGATTGAAATGTTTGAGTGTAATAAGACAGAGCAAAAATTATATGGTAGGTTTTAATTAGGCAATGACAAAATGCAGGTCATGATTTCAAAAGATGAACTGAAGTGGAAAAATGAAAGTCAGGAAAGGCTATCATCAGTGTGATAATAAAAGTTAACAGAAGTTGGAAATAATAAGTTTTCCATTTTGATGGAAAATTAAAACAAAAGAGAATATCTTTAGAAACTAATATAATTATTTTTAAAAACTTCAGATATAATAAAGGTGACTGCTTACTTAGCAAGCAGATTGTGTGGTTTTTTTTTTTTTTCAGATTCTAAGTAAAGAGATAGTAGAAAAAAGATTAGAGCCTGGTAAATCTGGACAAGCTTTATTGGAATGTAAATGAGCAAATCCCTGGGAGACTGCATCATCAGAGCCAAATCTAAAGGATGCACAGAATGCTTTTTTCTGTATTTTTTATTGCTTGCGCCCTCAGATTTCCTGACTTTTATCCAAATTTCACCTTATCAGAGTGGACTTCCATATCTAAATTCATACACATTATTATGTTTAGTAGCTTTTTCCCTCCGTTAGAATGAAAATGAAATTACATTAGTCTATTTCATTCACTCTTGTATCTTAATCACCTAGAGAACTTCTAGAAACTAGCAAGTGCCCACAGTATTTGTTGAAGGAGTGGGCTTTGTTACACAGTACTGTCTAGAATGTACTGTCTAGAATGTATGTATCAATAATGTTCACACTGAGAACTGCACACTGATGGGCAGAAATCCATGTTTTGCCTTTGTTTTCTTGTCTTTAGTTACAGTCTCTCATATTTTCTTAACTTTTCATTATTCTGTTTTCTCTCTTACTAATTCTTCCTTTCTTTCTCCTTCCTTCTCTTTTTCTTTTCTGTGTTTTGATTCTCTCTGTGCTACTTTCCAATCTCTTTTCCTTTCTCTTTCTTTTGGGTGTTTTTTTTTTCTTTGTGAATATCGCAAATGTTTTAAAACATATAACTCATTAGTAAGTTATCTTCCCTTTGGAAGGTTAGTCCAGAGGTGTAAATAAAGTCAGTTTATTTACACAAAGGGAATTTTACAGTTTCTTTACAACAAAGGGAAGTACCTGTAGTGGTTACAAGCAGAACGCTCAGTGTAATATTCTGGCTTTTGGTAGCTGCACAGCTTTGACAATGATTATATTACATCGATCATCAATTTATTCAAGTATAGAGCAAAGATAATGTTACTATCTTATGCAGTTATTATGAAGATTGTGAGTTAATGAATTCCCCCTTAGTTGTGAATCATTTTCTGGTACCATAGAGAACTTTCAAATGATGTTAGCAATTATTGTATGAAGGGCTAGACAGAATAGAGAGTGAAAAATTAGCCAAATTCATAATGCCTAATTAATCTGATGATCAAAGGACCATCCTTTCAATAAACAGAAAAGTTAGAAGGTGATCATGAATCACAGTGGTATCATAAGTACAGTTTCTATAAGGAAGAAATGTGCAGTTCTGATGCTTATATTCTCTGGTCCACTGCTGGACATAAATTATCTAGTGGTCTCACTTGGCTTACATTTACTTTGCCTGTTACTGGGTTGGTTCCACCAAACTTCCCAAATCTGCCACCAAACTATTTAAGCCATAATAATTTAATCAAATATTGCATCTTTATATACATTTTTTTATTGAATATATAAAAATCTTTCCTAAAATAATTTATATAAAAGAGTAACCTATTTAAACAAAGTATTAAAATGCATTTTATATTCCAGGAATAAATAATTACCTAGCATGTAAACTCACCCATGACTCATACAGTATTATGAAATAAAATTTCAAATGTGAAACACTATTTAAAAAATAACTATAAAGATATAAGGAAAAATATTATTATAATATTGCCCAACAGAAATTTCTGCAATGATGGAAATGTTCTATACATGTTCCATCCAGTTTGGTAGGTATTAGTCATATGTGACTATTGAGCACTTGAAATGTGGCTTAAGCATCTGAAGAACTAAATTTTTGATTTTATGTAATTTTAGTTAATTTATATTTAAATTTACATCAAGTTTGTGTGAGAAAGTCCCTTAAATGGTATTAGTAGCAATGATTTGGTTCTATATTTATTTTATATCATCTCATAATATATAATCTCTTATTGAATTACAAATTTATTTTATAGTGACCTGGTATGTTTCTTGAAACATGTGGACAACCTTAGTGTAAATATTGTTTTAGAGTCAGTATAACTGCATCAATCCAATTTTAGTTTCTTAATAATTATAACTGCAATAATTAATTTTCCAAATCAATCAACAAATCTGATTGAAAACAGTATATTTCTTCACAGCCACATATTCATATTCATTTTTAAGTTCTAATAACCAATTTTACCTATGTTTCATACTGAAAGTCCATAGGATTAAATAAAATTAATAGTGAGCAAAAATAACATCTTGTAATCCATTCTAGCTTAATTATTCAAAGAAAAAAGTCATGAAAACTTAATTATTAATATATGTTGTTTTTTACAGAGTAATTTACAAAATATATTTTGGAAATAATTACTTATTTTATTACTAAAGGGATGCATTATAAGTGAGCATGTATCATTAAAATATTTTGATCACCTCATTCAATACATAAGTTTATACAGTACTGCATCGTGTTATTAAAAATAAATAATTGTTGAATAAGTGAATAAATAAATTACAATTTAGAAAAAGAAAAAAGAAAATATATAAATTAATTACCATAGAAAAATTAAAACAAATAGATTTGCAAGTGAAGATAGAAGTAGAAAAACATGGAACAAGATGATGAAATGGATATTTATTGGGCCACATTAAATGGAATGTAGTCAAGGTCTTTGGGTTTATAGTCCCAGTCTAAAAAAAGAGACATTCTTCTTTTCTTTATTTTTTCAATTAAAAATGTTAATGTTATGTTTTACTATGATTTACAATGTTAATATTAATCTCAGTGGGAACTTTCGCCATTGAGACATAAACACATAAAACTTGGTTACTATTTTCTTTTCAGGGTTTGAAAGTTTTTATTTATATGAGGCAGCCCATCCCTTTGGCAGTATGGTTCCTACCACTCCCAAGTTTAATAAATATTCTACATTTACTCCAAGATAGAACTTTATTCTATGACTATATACTGTTGCTGTAAACCAATTTGTTGTGTGAACCAATGGATTGCCTTTTTGAAGAATTATGATAGCTAAAGATTTTTTAAATTTTTGGACTGGGAAGATAGCTGTTGAACTTCATGGTTCTTAGATACGTTAGGCATATGAAAGAGGCAGATCAAAACATCTTCAGCCAGATTTGCATTTGAGAGAATAATGTAATTATAACCAAAATGGGATGAAATCAATAAAATAACAAAATTTTATTCTTCGGATAAGGTATTTGTGTTTCTTCACAGTTTCTCCCTTTTCCTGAGTGTTATAAATAAACAAAAGATTAATAGAATTGAAAATTTTAACAGATGTTTAATAAACAGTTATTGTTTCCAGATTACTGTGGTAGATGCTGAGGAGGAGATACGAATAAATAAAATAAGAAGATACCTATTTTTTATATTAAATCTGTAGTAACATTTGATTAATGTAAACTGATCATTCTGATAATCTGAATTCTGAATGATGGCTTATAGTATTAAAATTTACGGTGGCTCCAGGCTGCATTACTTAGCCCCAGAATAAAAGGGAAAATGTACATAATGCTAATCATATTTTTAAAAATATTAAACAATGTGATAAATGTTTGTGGATAAATTTGCATGGAAATCCTTCTTTCCCTTACCACACACACACACACACACACACACACACACACACGCATGCACGCAACCTTAGAACAAACTATGTGGTATGAGTTAACACTCTAGAGTTTCAGTGTTGACCAACTTTGGGAGAAGTAAGTAAATGGTTGGAGTAAGATAAATATTCTACTGAGCATTTATTATGTGTTAGGCCTTGATCTATGTGCTTAAAATATGTGATTTTATTTAACATAACACTATATGATAGATGACATTTTCTAATGTCCTTATTTTTATAGATAAGGAAATTAATAAAATTTACTCAGATCATAGAGTTATTAACAACAAAACAGTCATAATTCAGAATTCAGATCTAGGCCTCTTCATGTTGTACTCTACTGTTTCCCAATGTATGGCACCCAAACCAACAGCATCAGCATCACCTGAGAATGTGTTACACATGAAAAATCTTGAGCCCCAATCAGAACCTACTGAATCAGAAACTCTGGGGCAGGGCCCAGGAATTTGTGTCTTAGAAAGACCCCCTGGTGATTCCAGTGCATGCTAATGTTTGAGTGTAGTTGCCACAACTCGTTATCTTAAGCACAAACCTACACTATATTGGAACTTTGTTATTTCCTACAACTCATATTTCTGCTGAATGTCACTGCTTCTGGTAATTGAAAATATTAGATTACCGTATTAATTTGGGCTGAGGTAACAAAATACCACAGACTGGGTGACTTAAAAACAGACACTTATTTCTCACAGTTCCAGAGGCTGGAAAGTTCAACATCAAGGTGCCAGATTTGTTTCTTGATGAGGGCCCACTTCATGGCTTACAGATGGCTTCTTTCTTGCTGTTCTTTCACATGACCTTTTCATTGGGCCTAATATTATAATGGAATTAAAAAATATGGTGATACTCAAATATAAGGTTTAAATATATAATTCCTGCATGTTTCAGTATATCTTCCTCTAATGGAATAGCAAAAAGAAAATAGTGAGCCTAGAAACTATCATGTAGATAACACATTTTAGTTGAGTATAATTTAAAAAAGTGATTCAATAAATAAATATGATTTGCATCCCACCTGAATGAACAAAGTTTTAAGTGTATCTGAAATTTTTCTAATTTGCTGGGCTAGAAATTATATACAGTTGTTTAAAATCTGTATACATTGTTCTCATGGTACTATTTATCAATGTAGATAAAAATAGAACATTGTGTATTATTTTAGAAATGTAGTTGGTCATTGTATTGGAAAACTGCCAAACTGTTTGAAGTATAACACTTTCAAAAGCATAGAATGATTTTCAACAGAGAATTTCAAAATTATAGGAAAATGAATGAAGATAAAACATATCCTCAGAGGAGTGTGTGCTTGATAGCTATATTGGTTTCCTAGGGCTGTAATAACACATTGTCACAGTCTGGATGGTTTAAAGCAGTGGTCCTCAACCTTTTTGGCACCAGGGACCGGTTTTGTGGGAGACAGTTTTTCTACAGATGGGGCATGGTGAGATGGTTTGGGGATGATTCAAGCACATTACATTTATTGTGCACTTTATTTCTATTACTATTATATTGTAATGTATAATGAAATAATTATACAACTCACCATAATGTACAATCAGTGGCAGCCCTGAGCTTGTTTTCTTGTAACCAGACGGTCCCATCTCAGGGTGATAGGAAACAGTGGCAGATCGTTAGGCATTTACTTGTCATAAGGAGCCCGCAACCTAAATCCCTTGTGTGCGCAGTTCACAACAGAGTTTGTGCTTCTATGAGAATCTAATGCTGCTGCTGATCTGACAGGGGGAAGAGCTCAGGTGGTAATGCTCACTGGTCAGCCGCTCACCTCCTGCTTTGCCGCTCAGTTCCTAAAAGGCCATGGACAGGTACAGGTCCATGGCCCAAAGGTTGGAAACCCCTGGTTTAAAGCAATAGAAATGTATCCTTTCGTAATTCTGGAAGCCAGAAGGACAAAATCATGGGTGTCGGCAGGACCACACTCCCCCCAAAGGATCTAAGGAAGAATCCTTCCTTGCCTCTTTGAGGTCCTGGTGGCTCCGGGAATTGCTTGGCTTTATAAATCTCTGCCTCCACCTTCCCATGACCTCTTTCCTATGTGTCTCTGTGTGTCCTCTTCTCTTTTATAAGAACACCCGCCCTAGAACCCTAAATCAGGAAGGATTTCATCTTGAGGTCCTTAAAAATAATTAAATCTTCAAAAATGCTATTTCCAAATAAGGTCACATTCTGAGGTACCAAGTAGATATTAAGTTTTTCAGAACACTATTCAACCCAATCCAGTGGGCAAAATGGTAGATATTAGATTTTAAAGGTTATATTTGTTACATGACATTTTGTAAAAATTTTCTCAAAGCATTATAAAGAAATGTTGCTCATGCTACTCTAGTTTAATTCACATAAATAATTGAAATTCCAATGTTTAAAAAATATTGAAAAGTAAACATCATTTTTTAATTTAAGCTGTTTTGATTCCAAGTTATTCTAAGCTGATTAGTTTAGTATAACCAGCAACATACCCACAAAATATAATTTAATTTTAAGGGATATTTTTGTTTCATATTTAATATAAAGAATGTAGATATTTGGTAAGCAAATTTCGGGAGGGGAAGTCTGTTGTGTTACTCACATTCTCAAAATTCTCATAAGCATATTTACCAATTTTAAACCCTCTCCCCACACTTTTGGTTTTTACCCCTAATAACATAAATACTGTTGTGAACTGACTGCTGTAGAGAATAATGCAACTTATAATTGGTGGTAAAAAAATTCACTCTATGTCCACAATGAAAATTAAGCAAACAGATGTAAGTCTTGCCATTTCAGATAAGCATATTTTTTCTGTTAATAAGCTATAGGTAATATGAAAAAGTTATTTGTGTGTAACTTACACTGATGATAATTCATTTACTCAATAAATATTTATTGAGCCAAACAGGGGATATAACTCTAAAGAGAAAATGGCACCAAAGAATTAACACATTCCTGTTGGGGTCACAATATTAAATATCTCTAGAAGAAATGGAAGTGATTAAAGTGGAGAGCAGATACAGAAAAAAGGCTGTAGTGAAGACTGAGGAAAATGGGAGATTATACAATCCATTTAATGGCACTGACATGCAGACTACTTAAAATAAATATCAATAAATACATATGAATAAAGGTTCATTTCAGCTTTCATGCATGAGTGAATTCTGGTGTCAGATTAGTTCACTTTTGCTACTACTTCCTTTTTTATAGACTAAGAATCTAAGGTGTTTTTATTGCATTCTATCCAATACCAGCATGCTTATAGATAAAAAGAAGTTAGTAAAACCAGCAATCTAAACATAAAAAGATAAATATTTTATTAAGGACATGCATCGGGACAAACTCAGCAGAGTTGGGGATGGTTTTCCTAAAGCAATGGCATCTTAGTTAAGGATGAAAAGGACCAGTCAGGGCTTGATAGAGAGAGAAGGCAGAAGGTCATTCCATTCAGAGAGATCAACAGTGTGTGAAACTACCAGGAGAGAAGTTCAGTTTACTGTATTATTGGGTATTGGAAGAGAAGTGCTAGGGGTTGAAGCTGGGAAGGTGAATAGGGCCCAGAACATGAGGAGACTAGTAAGCTGTACAGAGATTTATTCTGGGAACACTGGGGAGCCACTAATATAATTTACTAGAGATGTGACTTGATCAGATTTATACTCTAAAAAGAACATTTTGGCTACAGTGTAGAAATGGATTTGATTTGCAAACACGACTGGAGGCAGAAACACTAGTTGGAGGCCATTAGTGCAATTCAAGCCAGAGATGCTGGTGGCATGGACTAAAGTATATCAGCAGAAATGGAAAAGAAATGGACCAGTGTGAATCATATTTAGGAGACAGCATTGACACAATGTGGTGATGGATTAGGTGTAGGAGACAGGAAAAACGAAAAGGCAGTAGTCTGATGATACAGTTTCCTGGCTTGAATAAAAGAGTAGATAATAGTGCCACTTTCCCTTAAGGAGTGAGACAAGTTGAACATGCTAATCAACAAATGTATCTCTTATTTTTCCCACTCAATTTCTTTTAGGACATAATTCAGCAGTTCTAAATTCAGCTGGAGGACATAATATGAAATGGTGACTCTTCCTAATACGTTGCCAAAGTCTAAGTAACACATTTCTCACATTTTTTCTGAAATCAGGATATCTTGTAATGAATGCCAAAATAAATTTGCCAGGCTCCTGGCAGAGAAGCACTGTAGGGAAACTACTAGAGGGGATATTCTGGCAGAGATTACACCTATATGTGTTTGCACTTCCTTTTCTTTAATGAGAGTAGTTAATAAGAATGCATACATGCAAGGAATGCTATCTTGGAAACACCAAGTTCATTAAGGCAGACTTCTTCAGAAACAACGAACAAATATATATATCTTAGTTGATGCCACCAGCATCTCTGTACACACACACACACACACACACACACACACACACACACACACACACACACGGATTGGGGGGAGAGAGAGAGAAAGATTATTATAAGAATTGGCTCATCCAATGCTTATGAAGCTGAAAACAAAGTCCCATGATCTTATTGATGTTAGCAAGCTGCAGAACCAGGAAAGCTGGCAGTGTAATTCAACCCAAGTGCAGGAGATTAAACTGAGAACAGAGGTGGAAGAGTAGGGATTTGGGGGGTGTTGGTGTTGGTGTAAGTCTCAGTCTGAGTTTAAGGCTGAGAATCGGGAGTGCTGATGATGTCCAAAGGCAGGAAAAGATGGATGTCCCAACTGAAGTAGAAAGCAAATTTGCACTTCTTCTGCCTTTTTTTTTCTATTTAGGACCTCAGTGGTTAGATGAGGCCCATCCCCATTGCGGAGAGCCATCTGCTTTACTCAGTCTACCTATTCAAACTCTAATCTCTTTGGGAAACATTATCATAAGTACACCCACAATAATGTGGAGTTATTTTATTTTTAAATTTGTTTTTAATTAACAAAATTATACATCTGTATTGTGTACAATATAATGTCTTAAAATATGTATACATTTTGGAATGAATACATTGAGCTAATTAACATATGTATTGTCTCACATACTTATTTTTTGTGGCAAGAACACTTCAAAGCTACTTTCTTAGTGATATTCAAGAACATTGTTTTACTAGCTATATGGGCATCTTTTTGACCAGTCAAGTTGACATCTAAAATTAACCATCACACCAAGATTGGCCTCCATTAGAAGAGAAAATGGCAGCAGATCTACTCAAGTTACTGGATGAAAGCTATCACAGTAAGGAACGTTCAGGTTCACAGAAATCACTAAATGTTTCCCCCTGCACAGGATGAGTATTTGGAGAAAGAGGGTAAAATTAAGACAGACAAGCAGTTTGACTACTTCTGTTTATAAATGAGAAAAAATGTGGGGGAGTATTTTTAAGAGTCTCTCAAGTAGAAGTTGCTGGAACTAATCCTAGCAGGCAGAAAGAAGAAAGATAACTGAGTCTAAAATTGTAATTTAATGGCTGCCATATCGAAGATCTAAGTTAGACCTCAGCACTGACAGAATGGCTGTGCTCTTGAATAACAATGAGGCCTGACTAGGATGACACCAGCAAGAGATCTTTAAATCAGGGAAACCAGATGACCAATGTTTAGTTGATTTTCAGCACAACACAATGTGGCATTAAGAAGTAGTCGCAAAAGTGAACTAATCTGACACCAGTATTCATTCAGTGCATGAAAGCTGAAATGAACCTTTATGAATGGCATGGGAGTCCTGGGCTGTTGGAAAATATACACAGCAATTCAAGCAGGGTATACTGTACTTCTTAAAAGTATTAAATACAATCAGCAATAATAAAAAATAAAGAGTTATTACTGTATGTCCACTCTGAATTTAATGAGTAGTTTCTATACGTAACAGGAATAAGTTATGTACCAGAGTGAAGGTTGTAATACACGAATGTATATCATCCACTGATTTTTACTGTGCTTGACTTATTTGCATTGGTAACAGAACCAAATTGAAGTTTAATTTAAAGATTTAACCCTAATTCTTGATAATAAGAACATTAAAATGCCTTCTAAAATATTTTGATGATCTTAAAGTGAAACTTTCTGCTAACTACACATAAAGTTATATATCAGACAACACAATGAAAGGCAAATAAATTAACAAATGTCTTGGAAATGAAGTTTTTTTCCCCTTCATAGGAGGGGTTGTTGCTATTATTTCTTTAACTGTTGAACACTGTTATTCTTGTATGTATGCAAAAAAAACACACAACAGCTTAGATGCAAACATTTATTATGATATTCACTCCAAGAAACCAAAAAAAGTACAAGATTTTCCCCAGTTATACAGTTTATGTATGCATGTGTACATATATATATTCTACACAATATTAACATTGTTAATATTACATATATGTTAATACACATTAATATATATTTATATCTATATTCTACACAATGCTAACATTTCTTCTATTAAGCTGCTTTTAAAGTGATGCTATTTCAGAAAAAGAAAAATGATGCCATCTTAGAATGAAGATATTATGGTCAAACCTGTCTTAAATAATGAGGAACAACTACCTGTCTCTTTGGGTTGAAATGGATTTTATTTTCATTTATATCAACAAAAGCTAATTCTAAGAAAGAGTGTCTAATATTAAAAACTTGCAAGATTCTATATCTCTTAAGCAATCAATGTGCATGTTGATGCAAAGATACAAATAGCTCTGGATTAAGCTATAAACCTTACAGGGTGTGCAAAATAGAGTCGAAGTATTATCTCAAATACTCTTCTTGCTCAAATTCCTTTACCTTATTTAAACAATACAGTGTTTTGCATCTGGAAAGTGATGAGTAAAGAAGGATTGTACCAATGCTGATGTTTATGTAGCCCACCCCTTCATTGCATTCAAGCTTCCTGCTCAAATGGTACATACAAAAGACACCTTTCTTGACCTTTCTAATTACACACACATACACATACACACAAACACATACATATACACACAAACACACTGCCCTTCCAGCCTTCGGCTACACTGTTATGTATTATCTCACATTATTTAGAATTATTACAATTTCACAGTATCTAAAAAGCTATGTATTTACTTGCTTATATTCTTCCCATTCAATTGGGAGGTTCAAATAATGAGGGTATAACAATGCCTTATTAGGATAGTAGTATCAAAAGTGTGTAGAACACACCAGACAGACATCAAGTGCTCAATGCAAATACTGTTGCATATGTGATTTATCTGGGTAACTTGTCAAAAATGACCTTGTAGAAAACTAGCAATCATTGTCCTTGAAGGAAGAATCACTGCAAAAGAATATGCTTCTAGAAAAATACTTAGGTATTTGGATAAAAAATATGGAGAAGTGGGCTAGGCGCAGTGGCTCACACCTATAATCCCAGCACTTTGGGATGCTGAGGTGGGCGGATTGCCTGAGGTCAGGAGTTCAAGACTAGCTTGGTTAACTTGGTGTTAGCCATCCCTACTAAAAATACAAAAATTCCTGGGCATGGTAGCACAAGCCTGTAGTCCCAGCTACTTGGGAGGCTGAGGCAGGAGAATCGCTTGAACCAGGGAGGTGGAGGTTGCAGTGAGGTGAGATCACACCACTGTACTCCAGCCTGGGTGACACAGCAAGACTCGTCTCCAAAAATAAATAAATAAATAAATAAACAAACAAAAAATATGGAGAAGTGCTGACCAGTCTGGGAAAGAATCAGCAATAGCCACATGAACTCTATCAATCAATGATAACATTAATCTCTGCTGTTGTCTTGATTATTTCTGATAAGGCATTTTTATATTTAGTTTTTTTCCATTTTAGTTCCAGCTTTCAAGTTACTTCTTTATCCAATCTATGCTCTAAATTATTTATCAGTTTTTATATAATTTCTTAGCAGAAAACTAAACTTTTTCCTAATACTTAAAACTGGCTAAGTTAGAGAATGGAGTTATGTAGACAGTTACCACTTTCATTTGCAAGTATTTCTCTAGACTTCTTTTTTAACTCTTGGGGAGATTCTTCTTTCACTTTGAGAGGAAATGATTCTAAGGGTAATAAGTGCAATGTTCACATTCAAATCAATGATATAATTATATTCTCAGAGAAAAATAAGTACCGCAGATACATACTAAAATATAAGAATGATGAGAAGAAAGAGGCAGAGCTAAAACAATATCTGATTTTATAAATTAGCCCGAGTTAGAAAAGCTCCATCAAATAGCTTGTGGAAAATAGAGAGCTAGATATGAAGGAGATATTGAATAAATTATTGTGTAATTTGATTTTACTGAAAAAAGACTTGTAAATTTTGTCAATTTGGCAGAAGGTTAAAAATAACTCTATTCTTCTTAACTTACGCCGCATGAATTCATGATAAACATAAAACTAAATATGGAAGATTCAGTGTTAGGTGCTGTGGAGGATTTTTAAAAGTGCTAAGATATGTATCCTGCTTACAATAATCTTATATTCATGAATTTCTCTAATATAAGATCAAGAGTGGTGTGTAAAAGAGGAAATGCTTAAATGTCAGGAGGTTCAGAGAACAAAAAGAGTACTTTTAACTGGAAAGATGAGGAAAGGTTTTATCAAGCGAACTACATTTGTTCTTGTCTGGCAAGGACAAGTATGATCCAGGTATTCGGCTGTGGGCAATAGGTTATTCTGGATAGTGAAAACAATGTGAATAAGAATACGTATTTGGGAAAATACAGTGTATCTATGTAGGCCTGTGCAAATTTTATTTGCTAAAGTTTGATAATTGGATAAGAGTACATAAGGTGGTGACAATAGAAATTTTGTATGCAACTGGGTTGTGCAAACCTTGGGTCAAAGTGGAAAAGGTTTATTTGGTTGGTAATGGAAAATCAGTATGTATCCTGTATTGCTTCCCATGAGCGCCAGATATGTTCATTGTATTTTACGAATATGTGTGTGACATCAGTGGATATGGAAGCTATGAACAAGAAGTTAGTTAGGAAATTATTTTCAAGGTCCAGACAAAAGTTAATAAATTCTTCTAAAGTAGAAACTTAAGTAACTTCTGATAATAATCATGGAATAAGAGTACAGATGTCAGATAAACTAAATGAAGAATGAGAGAATTTGGCAAATAAAAAGTCAAAACAAATTATAAGTGATTTAAAATTATGAAAATGCTTGAAAGTTTTGCATAGATACGTGTATGTGTGTGTGTGTGTGTGTGTGTTTGTGTGTGTGTATGTATCCACAGCTGACCCTAAACAACGCAGGGGTTAAGAGCACCGACACTCCACATATTAAACAACCCATGTATGACTTTTGATTGCCAAAAACTTAACCACTAATAGTCTACTGTTAACCAGAAGCCTTCTTATGACTAAACAGTTCATTCACACATATTTTGTATATGTATTATATACTGTATTATTACAATGAAAAGCCTTTAGATTTTAGTTGTCTCTGATGTCTTCGCTTTTTCTTGAACCATATTAGAATCTATGGATATGCCTTTCTTATAACAATGCTGCACCCACATAAAAGCTTCTAAGATGAAAAGATATTTCATGAAAAGTGTAAGGTATCTGCACCTGCTTGCATAGCTGTAGTGATGCATTCACAAATTTTCTTTTCTTTTTTTTTTTTTTGATAGTGGTCCTTACCCTAGATTTATTTATCTTGAAATAATGGGCAACCACAGCTGCAAGCTTCAATCTATAGTACATATCAAGCAATTCAACTTTTTCTTGTAATGTCATTACTTTTGCCTGCTTCTTGGAAGTACTTTTGGCATCACTACTGGCACTTCCTTTTGGTTTCATGGTTATTCACGGTTTACAGTATTGCACTAAACACAACAAAAAATACTTGAGAACCATGAGAGAACAGTTTTTACTGAGATATGAAATTTACTGTGGAGAACTGCTCGTGTGGAGATGATTGGCATTACATGATGCTTTAAGCAGGTACTTGCAACAGTGAGCTCACCACAATAGTAATAGAAGGTGGCTACAAAATTATTGCAGTGATCCCTTATTACTACAGTTAATTTTATGTAGCTAAGATTTAATACTGCATCATTATGTTTGACAAACACTACAAGAGACTAGGGATTAAGGTTAACATCAACATCAATAAGTCATACGAATACTATGTAACTGTATTAGTTTCTTAGGGCTGTTGTATCAAAGTACCACTTACTAGGTGATTTAAATAACAGAAATATATTTTCTCACAGTTCTACAGATCAGAAGCCCAAAATGAAGGTGGCAGGACCATGCTCTCTAGAAGGCTCTAAGGCAGAATGTGTTCCATGCCTTTCTCTTACTTTCTGGTGTTGAAGGCAATCGTCAGCATTCCTTGGCTTACAGCTGCATCACACCAATCTTTCCCTGAGTCATCACATGACATTGTCTCTGTTTCTGGTTTTACTTGGCTGTCTTCTTAAAAGAGCACCAGCCATATTAGATTATAAACCCACCCTTTAATGCAGTGTGACTTCATTTTAATTTAACTAATTACATCTGCAGCAACCTTATTTCCAAATAAAATCATATTCTGAGGTAACAAGGTTAGGACTTCAATAAATTTTTTTTGAGGGAACACAATTCAACCCATAAGAGTACCCTTGATGGAATATAATGAAAGTGACACTTTACCCTTTCGATTTTCTTCCCCCAAACCCAAAATCCCATTCTAATAATAAAAACCATCAGAAAAATCTCAATTTAGAAACAAGCTACAGAAATTTATTTGACCAGTGCTCCTCAAGATGTAAAGGTTATGCAAAACAAAAAAAAGTCTGAGAAACTGTCACAGTTAAATGGAATCTAAGGAGATCTGACAGTACAATGTAATCTGATATTCTAGATGGGGTTCTGAAATAGACAAAGATGGTGGGTAAAAACTAAGAAAATTTAAATAAAATATAAACTTTATTTAATGTAATGTAATTAATTACAACAAATATAATTATAGTAAGGTGTTAATAATAAGATAAATTTATTAGTTACTGGGTTATACAGGAATTTGCTATACTGTCTTCAGAAGATTTTTCTGAATATCTAAAGCTGTTCTAAAAGTTTATTTAAAAATATATTTCCTATTGTGGTAAGGAATGAGATAATAAATGTAAAGTGATTTGTACAATGCATTACACATAACAGATGCTGTATAGTAGCAATTGCTTATTTATGTTTTATATCTTTATAAATATTTACATAAATTTTGAATAATAATTAGCAAGTAATAAAATAAATTCACATTTTAATGTGAACTTCCTTCTTCCTATTTTTAATAGGAATTTAGCATTCTAAATATGTATCTCTTGCTGGGATCTCCAATGAATGAACATAGTTTAGCAAATTTATAATTTGTACTAGCGTTTAGATTGCAATTGTCAAAGGTGATAGTTTAAGTAAAAGTTTTTGCCTTGATGATAGTAAATTGAAATTAGTTGGAATTTTATAAATGCATGGAATTTAATAGTGCTTAAAATTTCTGGATAGAGACAAGCCTAATTTCCACATGCTGACAATGGTTCTGATCAGGAAACTTAAGGTTATTATAGATACTGCCGCTTCTCAGTACAAACATGATACTGCATGATCGTGGTTGCTTGGTTTATTTCACTTAATGAAGAGACTTGAATCTTTATGAAGATTATTCTGTTTAACTGATAGAGACTCCAAGTCCCAATTTTGGAAAAGCAAAGGATGATTTGTAACTGTAAGTACTCTGATAAGGAGTAATTGAGTGACTAGTACAGGCTACTTCCTGCAGTGGTCTACAAAATCCAACACAATCCATCATTGTCTCTTCAAAGACATCTGCCTCTTTTTCCCTCGTTGACTCTGCTTTAAAATCAGGAGGTCTCATTGCTAGTCCTCCAACACACCAAATCAGCTCCTACCTCAGGGCCTTTCCACTGTCTTGTTCAGAGAATTCTTCTCCATTGCTGTCTCTCTCCCCTCTGTCAGGCCTTTGCACTAATTTCAGTCGGTAAAGCCATCCTTTACCACTCTGTTTAAAAATTATAGTACTGCTCTGGCCCTCTACCCATGCTATCCCCCTTCCTTACCCTACTTTTCTCCACAGCTATTCTCCTTTCACACAATTGTTCTCCAATTGTTCTCAGTTGTTCTCTAATTGTTCTCAGTTGTTCTCTAATTTTAGCTTGCACATGGTGTTTTCACTAAATTGAAGACAATAACTTTGTCCTGTTTTGTTTTCCACTGTAATCTAGTGCCCCGAACATTGTCTGCAACTTACCAGGTGCTGAGTAAATATTTGCAGAATAAAAGGTAAACAATAAAAAGTTAATGAATTTATTATTTACTGAAATTCTACAATATTTTTGTTCCCTTTTTAAATGTTATTCATTGTTTTATCTAGTTGGGAAATTATATTTATGTTGTATATTTTGCATATAAGCAGAAATAAAATTGATATTATGTCATAGAAATTCCAAATATCCATGGAATCATTATGAATTTGACAAATGGGTCATTATGGTCTAATATATGATGTATTTGTCTTCTTGGAGACAGAGTCTTGATCTGTAGCCCAGGCTGGAGTGCAGTGGCACCATCACGGTTCACTGCAGCCTCCATCTCACCGAGCTCAAGGACTCCCAAGTAGCTGAGACTACAGGCACACACCACCATGCTCATCTAATTTTTATATTTTTTGTAGTGACAAGGTTTCGTCATGTTGCCCAGGCTGGTGTCAAACTCATGGGCTCAAGCAATCCATCCACCTTGGACTCCTCCAATGTTGGGATTACAGGCTTGAGCCACTGTACCACTGTACGTGGCATCATGTTATCTCCTCAGTCTCTATTATACAGTCAAATACAAAGATCCTATAAGGACAAACAGTATCAGAATGTTCTTACCATTCTTTAAAACACCTTATTTCTTACTGAAATAAGATGATTAAATATCTTTCTGTCATCTACTACTTACTCTGGATTGTAATTCATTATTTTCAGTTGAAGACTTTATACACTTGACTTATTAAAATAATAGATTATAAAGATTTCTCTGGCAACATGCAGATAGATTACCCGTTTATATAATAAAAGAACTTGCTGCATTTTTATTAGCATGCCATGATTCTGATAATGCACTTATCCTCTCATAAAAACATTAATTTTGATGTATGGCATAGATGAGGACTAAACAGTAAACATAAAAAGAAACAGTGTAATGATTTAGATCTATGGGTGGCTTCTAAATTAGTCATCAACTAAAGAAATTAAAACGATGAAGATATCAGTGTCATCAAATAAATATGGATATTTGTTTGATAAACTAAAGCAGATAACAAGACTGCAAGAAGACAATCTTTCTACATACTTTTACACATGTATGGTATTTACCTTCAATAATATATCATTTTGGTCACTACACAATACAATGCAATTACATAAATTAAAATGAGTCAAAAATTCTAAAAGATGCTATTAACTTTACGTTTCTTTTCTTTGCATATTTGCTATAATTCCAGTTCTTTGAAATATATTTTATCTTTTTACTGTAGCTTTTCAACCAGTTAAAACCTAATCATTTATTCAATTTGCCTGCACTGAAGAAAAAGGATATGCAGACTTTCTCTTCATAGTTTATGCTTTGCTGATGGTATTTATCTCCATAATTAACATATATTGTATTCTCATGTTTAAAAAGATGGCATAAATGACTTAAGAAACTGTAATAAGAGAAAAGAATTAATAGAATAAAACCTAACCATATATACACCCCTAGATTTAGCTTTTGTGAATGTCTTATACTTTATCCAAAAAAATTTTGGTGACTACAGAATATTTAATAATGCTATATCACAATATTTACCTATTCCTGCACTGCTTTAAATGTTGGCTTTATTTTTGTCATTGCAAGTAATGTTATAATTAAAATCCTTGGACATTGTCTAATTTGGATGCCTCATAAAACAGAGCCAGGACAAAGATCTGGTGCAGGTGTTCCACAAAGAAGGCGAACTCAGGAAGCAGGTCAGAGGGAGCAGGTAGAGGCAGCTCAGGAAGGGAAAGAGCAAATGGGGGAGGGGTTTATAGCTAAGTGCTGTCGGCCTCTGGGGCTTAATCCTCCTTGGGCCTGTCCAGGAACTTTGGAATGTACTCCAGAATTATTTCTCCTAAAGACAGGGGAGGATTTATCTGTTTCGTTCCCTTTGTGGAGGTTTGCCTCTGCCTCTCTCACTTCCTAGTTGCTCTGAACACAGGTGGAACCAGCTGAAGAGGCTTAGGAAGTCTGGAGCGGCTAAGCACAGGGTTGTGGTGAGTGCCTGAGCAGGGCATTTTCAGCTTGTTTGAAGAACTGTCTGCGGTAGCTGCAGATGAAATGAAACCTGGATCTCTGGTAGAGAGACCTTCTCTAGGTTCTGACCAAGATCACAGTGAAAAGCCAGGTGCTGTCTGCAGTTCCAGTTCACTCCAGTCACCAGTCCTAGATCAGGGCTCTGGCAGCACGACTTCTCCTTGCTGACTTTATAGTGCTGGTTGCAGTGACTTTGCAACCTTAGACCCTCTGGGTCATCTGGAGTCCTGGCCCAGTGGGAGGACATGGGATCACCAAGGAACCTCTTCAATGAACCTTTCAAAGGAAATTGACAAAATGCCAGGTTCCAAATATTCCCTCTTTTCTCAGACTTTTCCAATAGTATGCAAATGTGGCATTTTATTTTCCAATCTTAAAAATAATAATAACATTACTCTAGACCCTCTTTCCTTTTTACCTATCATTGCATTCCTATCCTTTCCTTTACAACTAAACTGAACTGTATGGGTGTGTGCGTGTGTGTGTATGTGTGTGTGTGTGTTTGTGTATTTTCCACTCACAGTTTGAAATTCCCCTCCTCCTATTTTCTTTTGAAAATATTCAGTTAGGCTTTTGCCATTAATCCACGGAAATCTCCATTACAAAGGAGGTCACTAAATCCAATGTCAGACTTATTTGACTTATTAACAACATTTGATAAAACTATATTTCTTCTTCTCCCTTCAAAAATTTCTTCACTTTATTTAAAGAGTTTTTCCTCCTGCATAATTAATTGCTTTATCTCAGGCTCCTATGGTAGTACAAATAATTAAATGTTACATAACATATTTTCCCTTAATTTTTGCCTCTAAGTTGAAGAAAATGAAGGAAAACGTATCTCTATGTTTCTTTAAATTTCACTATAATCACTACTGGGTGTCAAACCTTTATATCAAGGGTTTGGTATTTTTATACCATCTTTCTTTCTTGAAATATAGATTAATATTATGTGCTAAATACTTATAAAAGCAATTCAATACTTTGTTGAGAAGATTTCTAAAATTACTACTCAATTTCCTTATGGGAGGTAACAATGGAAGATGAGGGGTCTGAGTTTATTCATCCAGGAAAGAGGTAAATACATAATATTAGGCAAGAAGGTATGAAAATACTGCTTATAAATCAATTTCTAAACATAATTCTACCTCACTGGTTATTAATTTACTCATATCTGAATAAAATGTGCAAGGAATTATTGAATAATTATTCTAGGTATTTTATAGTTTCAAATACTTTCTTTAATGTTTACAGAAAGACAACTTGAACATTGTTGGATATGCGAAAGCAAACTTTACTTACAATTTCATCAAATGCTGAATTGTCTCTGCTGTAACATGCTCTCCCTGAGACTTTATTCAAAGAATGGACCTTCATGGGTTTCTTATTGAACTCTTAAATCAGTAAGCCTCCTTTGACATTACATTCAGCAAAGTAACTGCTTAAGTCAAATTTGTCTTAGAAGACCTTAGAGACAGGTCAGAGACAGGTCAGAGACAGGTAAAAATTAAAACACATTCTAACTGATTAATTATTTCATCTATGAGTAAATATTATAGAAATTAGATTATTAGAATTACGATTTTTCTTTTGAGATGGAGCTTTGCTTTTATTGCCCAGGCTGGAGTGCAATGGCATGATCTCAGTTCACTGCAACCTCTGCCTCCTGGGTTCGAGTGATTCTCCTGCCTCAGCCTCCCGAGTAGCTGGGACTACAGGTACCTGCCACCAAGCCCAGCTAATTTTTTGTATTTTTAGTACAGATGGGGTTTCACTATGTTGGCCAGGCTGGTCTTGAACTCCTGACCTCAAGCGATTCACCTGCCTTGGCCTCCCAAAATATTGGGATTACAGGCGTGAGCCACCGCGCCTGGCCTAGAATTATGATTTTTATTAAGCTAAAGACTCATTTGTTTTCTAAAAGAAGTAGTGTTTTCCACAGAAATCTTCAAACTTTAGATAGTATTATAAAGCAAAAATATAACCTGAAGCAGATTTTTTGAATTATAATTTGAAGTAAATTATTTAAATATGTTTGGAAACTAATGTATTAAAATAATGAGAACCTGAATATTATAATTCACTAATTATATATTTAAATATTTTTTCTAATGTTTTACATCTTGTTTGCATAGATGAATTACGCATGAACTTAGAAAATATTGAATTTGGTAAAATTAAAATTAATAATTTCCCTTTTAAAATATATGTTCTCTAAATAATTATTAATTTATTAAATTTAATAATGCCAAATGACATCACATTTGTCTTGAAATTTAATTTTACTTTTATTATATTTTAAAATACAAGGGTGCTAAAATATTACAAATATTTTAATATTTTAAATTTATTTAGCTAATAAAAAACATAATAGTTCAATGCTTCAAGTGCTGAACTTTCAGCTTTTAGTTAGGCAAAATAGTATAACAATTTTTTATTTAAAGTCATATTTATCTGAGTCTTTTAAATGTATTGCTTACAATTTATTTTAATCTGAATTGATTAAATTGAAGAAGCTTAAGTTTAAAACATAAAAGCATATGTAGATAAAGAAGGAATTGCAATAAACAAAGCAATTGGTAATTTTCTTCCTTCAAATCCAAACAGTTTAAAAATAATCTATTTCTACCATCCTACCATTACCCTTCTCATTCATCAGATAAATTGGTTAAAATAATTCCCAGTAGTGTGGTATGCAAGTCATTCTCATATACATCATCCTGTATTCTACCTTCACCTTGCATCTGAGATAGGCAGGACAAACTTTGTTTTATTATCACTGTCTGTGTGAGGAAGAACTGGATGCTGAGATATAATGTGCCAAGTTCAAGATTGAAAACCAATCTAACTTAGTAACTAACGCCTGGCAATATTGTGTTGTCTTCAGAGTTTTGGTATACAAAATATTATTAAGGTAAATTGTTAAGCAAATAATACAATACCATGAAAGCAAATATGTTCTCATTTTAATGATCATTTTACTTCTGACAAAAAACTTACCATAATATACACTTTTTTGAAACTATTCCTCATGATGGAGAATATTTGCAAATAAATTATGTCGTAAATAGAACAAAAAGAGGCCAAATTTGAAATCCCTTAAAATGAATGATTAGCTTTGGTGTGTTTTTCTTTGCTGTTTATGTTATTATTTAATGAGGGAGCTTTTTTAATTTTAAACATGGTTGAATACAAAGAATTTAACAGCATCAACTTCTAACGGAGCATCTGTCAGTGTTAGGCTTTATAGCACACACTTTTCAAAGTTTAGCTTTTTAAAATTTTTCTTCAAATTTTTGCTTTATGTATTATTGTCCTGTAGTAGAGGCAATATTTTATCTCTGACCTCTTAGGGTTTCTGGCTGGGCCTGATAATTGAATTGATATAAGACAGATTAACAAAAGTATATACATTTATGTAAGTTTTATAGAACATGGGAGCTCTCATAAAGAAATGATGACTCAAAGAAGTGGCAAAACTTAAATGCTTTGATTGTAGGTTAGACAGAGGCAATTGAGGGAAAGTAGCTAAACCAGGTGAGAAGGCTAAGAAATGATAAAAAATTATTCTAATAAGATCTGTTTTTTACAGAATTATCTTAGTCCCCACTTCCCATTCTTGATAAGAATGTTACTCTCCTTCTGGTACAGGGAGTTAATCTACACAAGGGTTTTATCCTCTGCTTTCAGGAAAAAAGAGGGGAGAGTCAGAGTCTCCATCTTGCATTGTTGTTGTTGTTGTTGTTGTTGTTTTTAAGTGCCTTTAGCTCTAAATGATCCTTATGCCAAAATGGTATATCTGGGTTACACAGGGCCATAACCTTTTCATAGAAAAACTCCAAGAATGATTTTTTTTAAATTAACTTGACCGCAAACTTGAAAACAATCACATGACTAATGACTATGTTCCTAGAATACTCACATTAGGAAAATAAAGACATCAAATTGATGGCCTTTACCTTATTTTTATTTATTTTATTTTTTTTGAAACGGAGTCTAGCTCTGTCGCCCAAGCTGAAGTGCAGTGGCACAATCTCTGCTCACTGCAAGCTCTGCCTCCTGGGTTCACACCATTCTCCTGCCTCAGCCTCCCGAGTAGCTGGGACTACAGGTGCCCACCACCACACCTGGCTAATTTTTTGTATTTTTAGTAGAGACAGGGTTTCACTGTGTTAGCCAGGATGGTCTGGATCTCCTGACCTCATGATCTGCCCGCCTCAGCCTCCCAAAGTGCTGGGATTATAGGTGTGAGCCACCACGCCTGGCCGGCCTTTACCTTCTTATGTCCCAGCACTTATCAAGTAACATTTGCCTTTTTTTTTTTTTTGAGATAGAGTCTTGCTCTGTCACCCAGGCTGGAGTGCAGTGGTGTGATCTTGGCTCATTGCAGCCTCCACCTCCTGGGCTCAAGAGATTCTCATGCCTTAGCCTCCCAAGTAGCTAGGACTACAGCCAACCACCACTATGCCTGACTAATTTTTGTATTTTTAGTAGAGATGGGGTTTCACCATGTTGACCAAGTTGGTCTTGAACTTCTGGCCTCAAGAGATCTGCCCACCTTGGCCTCCTAAAGTGCTAGGATTACAGGTGTGAGCCACTGTGTCCCGACCACTTCCTTAATTTTTGAAAGTATTTATAGTGCATTTGGGGAGTTAATAATTATGCACATATTATTGTAGAATTTTCTTGCTTTTCTGGCTTCAAGGAAAATTCAAGCTGGTATTTAATTCAGTCCCATTCAAAGACTGATGCTCATGACATTCCCTTCTCCACTCTACTACAATCCTAAGAATCATGGACCACTCACTGTACTTATTTGTAATGTAGGGACTGGGTTTATAAGTGTCCAAGTTATTGAAAATGGTTGTCCACAGAGTGTTTTTATTGCTGAGAAATGTCTTGGAGTTTGAGTTGATAATTGTCATTGGGAAGTCCACAGCTGATGACAAGAAAACATGTTAATACCATTCTTTAAGTTGGCTCCCACTTCTTTTTCTGATGATGGTGATTTAGGAGCTTGCCCAGGGTGCTAGGCAACCATGCTGTGCTGACTTTCTTCCTTTCACATGGTCTCTTCTGGTCAGATTTCCTTTATCATATGTCCTAGTTATCTCATCCCAAGTCCCAGTGACTCAGTTTCACACTGAAGCTAGGCAAATTTCCGCCTCTTTATCCCTTTTTTCCCCAATATATTGTTTATGGTATAAATGCTATGTTTGGTTCCTTCATTTCTTAGCCTTTAGGCATCCAATTGCTTTATTGTCCCAAAAAACTCTGAAAAGGATGTTCTATTTTTGTTTCAAGGCTGCAGTCTCTCTTCCCCAGTTGAAAATCTCAATGAATTTGCATTCCTTTTATTGGCCTATTCCCCTGGAGCATCTGAGTCAAAAAAAGGCAAGTTGGCAATAGGTTAGAGCCTTAGTTATTCTCTCTAAATTTGCTTTGGTGGAAAGCAAGCTGGAGGTGTAAAAAAGGGAGATGACAGCTTACTATAGCCTTTCCTCTCTCTTTTCCAGTTCCTGCCTGTGTTAGTCTATTTTGTATTGCTATAAATGGACACCTGAGACTGGGTATTTATAAAGAAAAGAGGTTTATTTGGCTCTTAGTTCTTCAGGCTGTGTAAGCTTGGCACAAACATCTGCCTGACTTCTGGTGATGTCTCAGGAAGCTTTTACTCACGGCAAAAGATGAAGGGGGAACAGACGTGTTACATGGAATGGCAAAAAAGGAGGCAAGAGAGCAAGAAAGAGGTCTTTTTAACTATCAGATCTCATGGGAACTAATAGAGAGAGAATTCACTCATTACCCTGAGGATGGAACCAAGCCATTCATGAGGGATCTACTGCCATGATCCAAACACCTCCCATTAGGCCCCACCTCCAACACTGGGGATCACATTTTATTTTTATTTTTTATTTATTTATTTTTGATTTTATTTTATTTATTTATTTTTTGTTGAGATGGAGTCTTGCTCTGTCGCCCAGGCTGGAGTGTAGTGGCACGATCTCAGCTGACTGCAAACTCCACCTCCTGGGTTCACGCCATTCTGCTGCCTCAGCCTCCCAAGTAGCTGGGACTACGGGAACCTGCCACCATGCCCGGCTAATTTTTTGTATTTGTAGTAGAGACAGGGTTTCACCGTGTTAGCCAGGATGATCTCGATTTCCTGACCTCATGATCCGCCCGCCTGGGCCTCCCTAAGTGCTGGGATTACAGGCGTGAGCCACCGCACCCGGCCTGGGGATCACATCTTAACATGAGATTTGAAGGGGACAAATATTCAAACCATATCACTGCCTTTTGTTATCTTATAACCAGACATGGTCTCTGGGACATTGTTAAAGAAATTATGAAGCAGAAAAAACTTTTGAAACTCAAGTTGGCTTCTAGAACATCTTTTCTTAGAATTAAAGAGGATGTGCTTACTCAGTTACAGTTGTTCTATACTACAATAGACATAGTAACAACCATTACTTGAACAACTGAGCAGATACCATATTTCATTTACTAAACTAATAACTTTAATAAATTAAAAAATAATGTCTTGAAGTACTGTTATGCACTAATATGTATCATTAAATGTACTTTAAAGATTATCATAGTGAAAGTTGGACAATATATATTTCTCAAGATCACGTAACTGACAAGTAGTATATTTGTAATTAGAAGCCAAATCTTTCTAACCTCAAACTCTTTCCTTAAAACACTAAATTATTCTTTCCTGCTTTTTAGCCTAAGCCTGCTCATAACAGCTTACTTCATACTCTAAGAAACATATAAAGTATAGTAATGTTTACTATACTCATAGTTTGTAAAGAAGGGAAGTGTTCAACAAAATGAACCTGGGAATGAAATAGAAACTTGTTATTGAAAAGATCTCCTTCCAACAAATTGAAGGTGGATGTCTTTTCTTTCTTGCCAGTTCAATAGAAAATCTTGCATTTTAAATATGTTTGCTACCCATAAATTTAGATTTACTTTTTGATTTTCATATGGTGTTTTAGGAATTTTGAAAATGTTGGATTTAAATAGAATATCTCTGTATTTGCCAAAATTTATCTAAAAGTTATTTTTTTCTAGAGAAGGCTTAGCCCACAAAAGTTCCAGCCAGTTCACAGAATCTCCTCATTTTAAAAAATTAACTATTCTCCATATGGAGATATATAAAAACATAAATTTACATTAGGTCTTGAGATAATTCAAGTAGTAGAATCTGAGAGTTGGCAGTGAGGTGAATGGAATGTTACTTTAGAACAGTTCTCAAGGAATAATTCTCCTAAAGATTAATTTCAATTTTAAATCAAACAAGTTTAAATGACTATGAGAGTATTGGGGGAAAGTCCAACATGGGCATATTCTCTGAGATGGGAGGTCATTTTGAGCAGCTTTCTTTTAGGATAGACACAAATTATTTGAATTTCAATCATAAAGACATAGTCATTAGAGGTTTATTTTAAATTTACTACTAACTAGTTGTGTTCTTTTTATGAAAAAAATAGTGATGGCATCTCATGTTGGTATTTCCTTTATGGGTTATGTGAGATAAAAATTGAATTCCATTTTGTAGTATCTTGATCAAACTTTGGTAGTTAACCATGAACCAAATAATAACGATACTACTACTACTACTTTTGTTAATAACAATAATAATAAAGATCCAATTTGAGTGATCCAAGAGAACACTGAAGTAGAAATACAGTTAACCAAGATATAATGTAATGTTAAAATTTGATCTTTTGTAAGAATATATTGTGAATATTAATATAATTATTTTTAAATAAACTCCTAAATTTTTCCATAATTTTTGAAATTATTTCAAATATTAACACTTAAAGCATTTATTCCATCTAATATCACTATGGTGCTATTTCATGACATTTACCATTTCAGAGCCATATGTGGTCAACCTTCATTTCATACTCTTATAGATAGCACCTTTTCAATTTATTTACTTGATAGAATAAAAGATGTGAGATCCGAGTGAAGGAATGTTTATATAGGAAACCAGTAACAAATTTCCAGCTACTCATCAAAGTGTTGTTATATAAATCAAAATGTTAAATCAACTAAAACTTAAAATTTAGGTCTTCTAAAAAAGGGAAAACCATTTTAAGGAACAAGAGTGATCCTATAAACCTCTTTAATAAATTCAGATTTAAAAGAGGTCAAAAAAAGTATGTGAAATTTGGGAGCAACGCAAGAAGATGGGCTGCACATCATTTCAATGTCACATGAATTAACATCTGTTCAACTATCATCTGCGTAAATATATACTTAGTTAACTCACTGTTTCGTATTAAGGAAAATTCCCAGATCTATTAAATTTACATGATAACTCATAGATTTTATACAGTAGCCCTTCAGATAATTTCTCTTCAGTGGAACAGATAACCCTGAAAATCGATGGCCCTATTAGACTTTAATTAACCATTTGTAGCTAATCTAGAAACTCAACTTGAAAACATGATTTAAACCAGTTGTCTTAGGTTGTTTGGGCTGCTGTAACAAAATCCTTTAAACTGGGTTATTAGTAAACAACAGAAATTTATTGTTCACAGTTCTGGATGCTGGAAAGTCCAAGATCAAGGCATCAGCAAATTTGATGTCTGGTGGGTGCTCATGCCTCATAGATGGTGCCTGCTATGTGTCCTCACATAGCTGAAGGGCAAAAGGGTAAACCAGCTCCCTCAGCCCTCTTTTGTAAAGACACCAATCCCATTCATGACGGCTCCACCTCACCACCTAGTCACTTTCCAAAGGAACTGCCTCTTAATACCAACATATTGGATACTTTATTGCAGCATACAAATTTTGGTGGCATATAAGCATTCAAACAATAGCATTGGTTGTAAAATCTTATGCTTCCCCCATTATATTGCCTGAAAAATGTAGGATAACAAAAATGAGTTTAAAAAACTCCATATATTACTTAGTTTCCTCCTGACTTTAAAAAGAATGGTATCTCAACTATATCAGACCATTAAGCCTTTTTCTCAAAAAAGTAATGTATTTTATTTTTATGGCGGTTTTAGGCTTACAGAAAAAAATTGAGCAGAAAGTACATATTGTACATAACTTCCTGCCTCCATATGGTTTCTCCTATTATTATCTTACATTTGTGTGGTACATTTCTTGTAACTGATGAACCAATATGGATATATTATTATTAACTAATGTCTATAGTTTACATTAGGGTTCACTCTTTGTGCTGTACTGTTCTATAGGTTTTGACAAATGCATAATGTCATGGATTCACCATTACAGGATCATATAGAATAGTCTTACTGCCCTAAAAAAAATCTTCTCTGTTACGTCTATTCATCTCTTCTTTCCTTCTTCCCTGAAATCTTGGCAACCATTGATCTCTTTGTTGGGTATTTTTACTTTTGTGGAATGTTACGTAGTTGGAATCATGTGGTACATAGCCTTTTCAGACTAGTTTCTTTTACTAATGAGCATTTAAGGCTCATCCATGTGTTTTTGTGGATTGGTAAATCACTTAAAAAATCACTGAATGATATTACACTGTATGGCTATTCCACGGTTTGTTCTTTCACCTATTGAAGGACATCTTGGTTGTCTCCAATTTTTGACAATATGAGTAAAGCTGCCATAAACATCTCTTGAATGTTTTTGTATGGACTCATTTTGGTAAATATCAATGAGTACAATCACTGGATAATTTGGAGATGATAGGTTATTTTATAAGAAATTGCCAAACTATTTTCCAAAGTGGTTGTAAGACTTTGCATTCCCACCAGAAATTAATGAGAGTTCCTGTTGACATATATCCTCACCAGCATTTGGTGTCACATTACTTCCCTTGAATAACAAACATTTTACAAAAATTCTCATTAATATCCTACGAAAATCGTGGATGAAATGTGTATAACCTAAAACAAAGAAAGTACATGTTCTATCACATAAAGGAAAAACATAAGTAACTTATTAAGCAATAATTTGTATCGCAATGTATAAGTGCTTGAGCTTGACTCAGCCTGATATTATCATGCAGAAATCAAATGCTTGTACTTAAACTACTATTGCTAAGAGTGTAAGAGCTATGAACACAGACTGATATGAGGAGATTTTATGAGTGATGCAAATATCACAAATACTGGTGGCACCAAAATGATGATTTTTCTGAAATCTGAAATAAACTTGGTAAAATTTCATTTGAAACAAAAGTCTCCTTTCAATTTATTAAGTACAGCGAGTGCTCACCTAAGGTCTTGGAAATGGCAACTTTAAGTAAAATAATGTATATTAAAACCAATTTTCCCATAAGCTAATTGATCTAAAGCTTTTATGGCATATTTCTGGTCACAAAAACATCACCAAACTTCTAAAGAAAGACCAAAATATTTCTGATATTAAACATTTAAAGAAATGTGAGCTATACGTACATTTAAGAAAGGTTAATAAAAACAAGTCAGATAATTATTTACCCAATTATTCCAGTTCAGGATACTGGGTAGCCAAAGCTTATCTGGGCAGCTTAGGATGCAAGGAAGGAACTCACCTTGAACAGGAAACCAATTCCATCACAGGGCACATTCACACACAGACCCACACTCACTCAGACCAGGAAAATTTAAACACCAATTCACCTACTATGCACATCTTTGGAATGTGGGATGAAGCCAGCGTACCTGGAGAAAACCCAGGAGGACATGGGGAGAATGGGCAAACTCCACACAGACAGAGGCCCTAGTGAAGTATCATTATTATTCTTTTCTCATCAATGTCATAATAAAACAACATTGAACTAGATGAAATTTTTTGAGGGCCTGCTATAATTTTCTTACTAAAAACTTCAAAGTATATTTGGAAATAAACATGCAAAAATAGTATATATTAATATGCAAGTGTAGCTAAGTCTTGAAATGTTAAAAATAGTCCTTTAACTTATAAAACCGTTTCCTAAAACATCTGAAAATATTCAGAGATGGGACTGCCCTATACAGAATATGGTGGCTAGTAACTCTAGCCCTAACCTATAAACTTCAACAGCTCAGCCCACCTGTGTAACAACCAAAATTCCTCTTAGGCTTACAAAACATGCTAGTTTGGGCTACAGTACTCCACTGACTTGTATCATATTGAGTAGGACAAATTTAATAATTGCAAAGTATACTTATAAGCATATAAAATCTTGAAGAAGGTTTAAATCTGAAAATTTAGATATAGTGAAAAGGCAATTTGATTTCAGTGCAATTGACTCAAAATTTATGATTTTATGTTGGTCTGAAATAACATCTTTCCTAATGTGATCAGGTTGAGATTGTATTTTCTTACTGTATTTACTACAATTGTCCTTCCGTTCTTTTTTCCTCTTTATTCCAGGTGACTCTATTCCATACTTTCATTAATAGGACTCTAAATCTTTACTAAATATTATTTCAAATATTTTTGAAGACAATTTTACCTTGAGATCTACTGTGTTTTTAAAGTTTTATTTTTTGGTCTTCAGATAATACTATAAGTCATGAAAAAAATCACATTTTTAGGGAATAAAATAATATGATTAATGCAAATTTTGGAGGACATTTATCATTTTGAATCTTATGTAACCAATCAGGAAATATATGTAGTAAACATTACAAATAAACAGGAAAGAAGCTGTTAGAGATTTCTAGGTTGAATGTAGGAAAGCTTCTACTTAATGTGATGACATGAACATAACATAAGAGAAAGGAATGAAAAAACATAGTAAAAAAGCTTTGGGGAAGTAGGAATTACAGGATTTATCTATGAGGGTGAGCGTGCAATAGATAGATAATGATTATGAGCTACCTGGACTAATTTCTGGGGATATGGTAGTAATTAAGAAGTCAAGAGTAGAAGCAAGTTTGGAAGATAACAAACTTGGTTATTTACTCTTGAGGTTATCAACTAGATTGGGAACCTAAACAATATTCTAAGAATAAGAAATAATAAAAGTATGGTATTTGTTCTAAATGTCTCTCCATCTGTTCGATTGAGTTTCTAGACGAAAACATCCAGCAGTCAGTTAGAATTCATAATTATAATTCTAGGGAGATGTCAGAATTCTATTATGATACATTTTAAAGCTAAAACATATGATTGGAATTTAATTATTTGTATATTTTAGGACCTAATATCATTTAGTAAAGAAAAAAGCAGCACCATTTAAAAAGTTGTCTTATATATTCACCTTACATTGTGGGTACAGATACAGTCTTCTAAACCGATGATTTCTAAGAGTATAAAGAAAACATAATGTGTAGTTTATACTACTGAGATGTGTAGTTTATACTACTGAGATGTGTCTCTGTAGTATATTTTCTAATTTAAAAAATTATATCATTTAAAAAGTTATACCTGGAATGACACAAAATGAAGGACATAGAATTTTAAAAGCAACCTATGCATTGTGATTTTAAAAAAATCAGAGGTTCAAAATAAATTATTCTTTTACATAGCTATAAGGTTATTATTTGATACTATAGTACTTTCTAATTTTAATTTAATTTTTTTCTTTTTTCGATACATGATATTTTACATATTTATGGTATACATATGAGTATTTGTTACATGCATAAAACGTATAATAAAGTCAGAGTATTTGGGATAGCAATCGCCTTGAGTATTTATCATTTCTATAGGTTGGTAGCAATTCATGTCCTCTCTTCTAGCTGCATTATACAAAAATCCAATATATTGTTGATATTTGTCTCTTAGGTGAATTTCTCTTTACATCCTGAACTGTTTTTCTATTTTATTTTTATTGTTTATCAGAATTTTCTTACATCCCATTGAAATTCTTTAGTGTAAATATTTGAATTCTTTTTCTGGGATTTTTAAAATTTGTTTTTGATTGAGATCTTTTGCTGGAGAATTATTGTATTCCTTTGGAGGTGTCATATTTCTTTGCTTTTTCATGTGTCTTATGTCTTTATGTTGGTATCTGTGCATCTGGTGAAATGGTTGCTTCTTCCAATTTTTCAAAGTTTTTTTTTTTTTTCACAAGGGCAAACAACTTCCTAAAGATGTGTCTGTGGTATTGGTTGGGTAGGACAGTGTGACTTTGATTCTGGGTGCACAAAGTGGTGTACTATATATATAATTTCTTTTGCAGCAAACAGATTCAGGGTTGTCTTATAATTTCTTTGGTAGCATAGTTGTGGTTATTAGTGGATGCCGCAATGATGTTTTGCTGGAGATGGGGATACCACATAGGCCAGTTTTTGGGACATGGGGGGTGGCAGTGGTTGGCTAAGTGTACCTGTCTTTTGGGCCTCTGAGTGGTGTATGTGGTGTATGTGTAGGGGGTCCAGGCAAGTCTATTCTTTGGCTTCCAGATCCTTACTCAGAAGTCAATGGTGGCAGTGGTATGCTGGGCAGGTAGATGTGTTCTTTGGCCTCTGGACTGCCAAGTTTAGCAGGGTAATGTTAGTGGTAGTGGCCACTGGCCTTTTGGCTCCCAAGTGATGTGTTTTTGTGTTCGCAGTGGCTGTAATGGGCTGAGCAAGCCAGTCTCCAGGCCAGCAGGTGGCACGTTCAGATAGGTGTAAACTGTGGTGGTGGCAGCAGGGTGGGTAGTCCCATCCTCCATCTGCCAGGAGAAATGGTTATGTGCCAATGGTGATTGATTGGGCTGAGCAATCCTCTGGCCCCTAGACTGTATGTCCTGGAATGTGTGGGGTATGAAGCCAAGTCAGGTGGGGTTGTTCTCAGGCATCCCAAAGGTGTATGCAAGTGCTAGCTGTGTTGGGAAGGTCAAGACTATTCCCCAGCCACCAGAAGAATGTTCAGGTGAGGGGATAGTAATAGCTGTTTTGCTGCCTTGACACTGAGGAGGGTGGAGCTAAATTCACCAGTGGCACTCTAGCCTGGAACATGTAGAATTAACACACAGCTTAGGCCTCAGTGCTGTAATGCTTGCGCCTCAGCTCCTATGGCAGTAGCCCATGTCTAAGTTGCACTTCAGCCCAAGCTGCAGCAGTCTGTGCCTTGCTCATGCCTCAGCTCCAGGGGCAGCAGCCCTTGCTTCTCTTGAGCCTCAGCCCCAGTGCCACTGGGCCCTAGGATTGTGTGGACTCTGTTGAGGACACGGCTGTAAAATGGCACCTTATGTTAGCTGCTTAGGTTTTAACAAGTGTATAGAACCCAGCATGAGATCTCTTCCTGGCACAGTGCCATTGCACAATCTCTTAGCATGTTCCGATGTTAAATTCACAACCTGCAAGGATTGAGGGGCTCTCCTGTGGCTAAGATTACAGGAGTGCACAGTTGGAATGTGGACTACTGAGGTTCTCTCACTTACCCTTTGTCCACATTGGGGAGTCAGTCTCAGCTGCAGCCAGTCTTGGATGACCATGCTGCCTCCTTTCCTCTCCTACATTGCTTTAGGCATTTCCTGTCACTTTTCTATTGAATTACTGTGTTTACCTTGGGTGAGCTATTCAAAGTGTGATTATCTACTCACTATTTTACTTCTTTCTACTGGAGGGGCGAGTATGAAATGATTCTAGTCAGCTCACTTGAAGCCTGATGATAAATTTTAAAAATTGAAATCACAGAAATGCACAATTTTTCCAAAGAAGAAAACAAAACGAAAAAAAGAGAATCACATTTAGAAATTTAGGGAATGCCTAAATTCAAGGCAAGAAGATAAGGAGGACTTAAGGACCTTCATCATTGAATTACATTTGGTTGAACATCAGTTTGCAACAATCCTTATCTGGAATACGGGATATTGGGTAATCACAGATACAAACAGGAGATCACAGTGAAAAAGGCTAATCTTGTTTGGGGTGGGGATAGGCATAAAAGAGTTGGAGAAGATTTTCTAGTGTGTTAGATAGCAAAATGTAGTTTGAAAAAGTATGTTGAAAAATTGATGGAAACAAAGATGGCTGACTAGATGGAGCCAGGAATATCTTCTTCCAGTGAGAGACCAGGTTACCAAGAAGACGAGCACACTCTGGACAGATCTATGGAAGGAAGGCATTGAGAGTGGATACAGGGACAACATAGACCCTGCACTGAAGTGGGAGAAAGCTAGGAACATTGTATATGGTTGTCAACCACCAGGACTCCTTCTTGGCCTCAAGTGACTCCTGAAAAAGGTGTGAGTTTGAAAGGTGTGGAGTGGCCCACCCTCACCATGGACTTCCAGAATCCTAGCTGCAGGAGACCCCATGACCCCCACAGACATTTGAGCAGACAGAAAAAGCTGCTTGGACAGTTGGAAGGAACAGGACTCCAGCCAGTGGAGAACCCAGAGGATTTGATGCAGGAATGGCTGAAGTGGAGCACAGCCAGGGACGCCCATCTCCCAAGTCTTGCCACATTCCTCTAGGTGGCTTTGCCCTTTGTTGACTGTCAGATCTGGACAGAACAGGGCCCTCTTACCTTTGGGATGGGGCCAGTCTGATCTGAGTGTCCTTCTATCTGCTAGCCTCTCCCAGGCTCCTGCCTGGTCGCATTCACTTGTGGCAGTTTCAGATGCCCAACAAGGTGCTTCCCAGAGGCCACTGCCATAGCTCCTCCACAAGTAACCCCTCCTGTCAGAGAGCTTCTGCAGATGGGCCTCCACTGGCTCACATGCATCCACAGCATCCCTCCACGACTTTGCCAACATGCACTTGCCTACAGCCACCTCCCACCATTTTGCTTATATTAGCCATCACTGCGCCAAAGAAGCATTCTTGCCAGCACCCCTGCCCCCGCCAACCAGAGTGTTGTTGCCAGGGGACCAGGAACATTTCTGTCTCTCCAGCGCAGCGGGTGCTTAAGCTCGAGGGCCAGAGAACAGAGCTGTGGGCCAGTTCTCAACCCTCCAGTGTAAGATCACACAGCTCAGGAGTGCTGAACTAAGCTTTGTCCCCCTGAAATCATCCAGAAATTAAGCCAATCTAGTGAGTGCAAAATCGAACACAGTCAAACACTCAAAAGCATCAAAGAATACACTTGCAAAAAGCCCCATTCAAAGGACAACAACTTCAAAGATTAAAGGAACTTAACCCCAGCCCACACTTATGAGAAAGAACTAGTATAAGAATCCCAGAAACTCAAAAAGCCAGAGTGTCTTCTTGTTTCCAAAAAACTGCACCTATTCCCCAGGAACGGTTTATAACCAGACCAAAATGACTAAAATGACCAACATAGAATTCAGAATCTGTATCGTAACAAAGATCATTGAGACTCAGGAGACAGTTGAAACCCAATGCAAAGAATCAAAGGAATTCGATAAAATAATATAAACCCCGAAAAACAAAAATAGCCATTTTAAGAAAGTATCAACCTTGTAATAATCAGCAATCTTGAGCATTTTTTCATATGTTTGTTGGCCACATAAATGTCTTCTTTTAGGAAGTGTCTGTTCATATCCTGTACTCACTATTTGATGGGGATCTTTTTTCTTGTAAATATGTTTAAGTTCCTTGTAAATTCTGGATGTTAGACTTTTGTCAGATGGGTAGATTGCAAAAATTTTCTCCAAATCTGTAAGTTGCCTGTTCACTCTGATGATAGTTTCTTTTGCTGTATAGAAGATTTTTAGTTTAGATTCCATTTGTCAATTTTGGCTTTTGTTGCAATTGCTTTTGGCATTTTCATCATGAAGACTTTGCCCATGCCTATGTCCTGAATGGTGTTGCGTAGATTTTCTTCTAGGGTTTTTATGGTTTGGGGTTTTATGTTTAAGTTTTTTTTCTTTAATTTATTGTTATTATTATGCTTTAAGTTCTAGGGTACATGTGCACAATGTGCAGGTTTGTTACATATGTATACATGTGCCATGTTGGTGTGCTGCACCCATTAACTCATCATTTATATTAGGTATATCCCCTAATGCTATCCCTCCCCCCTCCCACCACCCCATGACAGGCCCCCGTGTGTGATGTTCCCCACCCTGTGTCCCAGTGTTGTCATTGTTCAATTCCCACCTATGAGTGAGAACATGCAGTGTTTGGTTTCCTGTCCTTGTGATAGTTTGCTTAGAATGATGGTTTCTAGCTTCATCCATGTCCCTACAAAGGACATGAACCCATTATTTTTATGGCTGCATAGTATTCCATGGTGTATATGTGCCACGTTTTCTTAATCCAGTCTATCATTGATGGACATGTGGGTTGAGTCCAAGCCTTTGCTATTGTGAATAGTGCTGCAATAATCATATGTGTGCATGTGTCTTTATAGAAGCATGATTTATAATCCTTTGGGTATATACCCAGTAATGGGATGGCTGGGTCAAATGGTATTTCTAGTTCTAGATCCTTGAGGAATTGCCACACTGTCTTCCACAATGGCTGAACTATTTTACAGTCCCACCAACGTGTAAAAGTGTTCCTATTTCTCCACATCCTCTCCAGCACCTGTTGTTTCCTGGCTGCTTAACGATCAGCATCTAACTGGTGTGAGATGGTATCTCATTGTGGTTTTGATTTGCATTTCTCTGATGGCCAGTGATGATGAGCATTTTTTCATGTGTCTGTTGGCTGCATAAATGTCTTCTTTTGAGAAGTGTCTGTTCATATCCTGTGCCCGGTTTTTGATGGGGTTGTTTTATTTTTTCTTGTAAATCTGTTTAAGTTCTTTGTAGATTCTGGATATTAGCCCTTTGTCAGATGAGTAGGTTGCGAAAATTTTCTCCCATTCTGTAGATTGCCTGTTCACTCTGACAGTAGTTTCTTTTGCTGTGCAGAAGCTCTTTAGTTTAATTAGATCCCATTTGTCAATTTTGGCTTTTGTTGCCATTGCTTTTGGTGTTTTAGTCATGAAGTCCTTGCCCATGCCTATGTCCTGAATGGTATTGCCTAGGTTTTCTTCTAGGGTTTTCATAGTTTTAGATCTAACATTTAAGTCTTTAATCCATCTTGAATTAATTTTTATATAAGATGTAAGGAAGGGATCCAGTTTCAGCTTTCTACATATGGCTAGCCAGTTTTTCCAGCACCATTTATTACATAGGGAATCCTTTCCCCGTTTCTTGTTTTTGTCAGGTTTGTCAAAGATCAGATGGTTGTAGATGTGTGGTATTATTTCTGAGGCTTCTCTTCTGTTCCATTGGTCTATATCTCTGTTTTGGTACCAGTGCCATGCTGTTTTGGTTACTATAGCCTTATAGTATAGTTTGAAGTCAGGTAGCGTGATGCCTCCAGCTTTGTTCTTTTGGCTTAGGATTTTCTTGGCAATGTGGGCTCTTTTTTGGTTCCATATGAACTTTAAAGTAGTTTTTTCCAATTCTGTGAAGAAAGTCATTGGTAGCTTGATGGGGATGGCATTGAATCTATCCATTACCTTGGACAGTATGGCCATTTTCATGATATTGATTCTTCCTATCAATGAGCATGGAATGTTCTTTCATTTGTTTGTGTCCTCTTTTATTTCACTGAGCAGTGGTTTGTAGTTCTCCTTGAAGACATCCTTCATATCCCTTGCAACTTGGATTCCTAAGTATTTTATTCTCTTTGAAGCAATTGTGAATGGTAGTTCACTCATAATTTGGCTCTCTGTTTGTCTGTTATTGGTGTATAGGAATGCTTGTGATTTCTGCACATTGATTTTGTATCCTGAGACTTTGCTATAAAGTTGCTTATCAGCTTAAGGAGATTTTGGGCTGAGACAATAGAGTTTTCTAAATATACAATCATGTCATCTGCAAAAGAGTCAATTTGACTTCCTCTTTTCCTTATTGAATACCATTTATTTCTTTCTCCTGCCTGATTGCCCTGGCCAGAACTTCCAACACTATGTTGAATAGGATTGGTGAGAGAGGGAATCCCTGTCTTGTGCCAGTTTTCAAAGGGAATGCTTCCAGTTTTTGCCCATTCAGTATGATATTGCCTGTAGGTTTGTCATAAATAGCTCTGATTATTTTGAGATATGTCCCATCAATATGTTGTTTATTGAGAGTTTTTAGCATGAAGGTTTGTTGAATTTTGTCAAAGGCATTTTCTGCATCTATTGAGATAATCATGTGGTTTTTGTCTTTGGTTCTGTTTATATGATGGATTACGTTTATTGATTTGTGTATGTTGAACCAGCCTTGCATCCCAGGGATGAAGCCAACTTGATCATGGTGGATAAGCTTTTTGATGTGCTGCTGGATTCAGTTTGCCAGTATTTTACTGAGGATTTTTGCATCGATGTTCGTCAGGGATATTGGTATAAAATTCTCTTTTTTTGTTGTGTCTCTGTCAGGCTTTCATATCAGGATGATGCTGGCCTCATAAAATGAGATAGGGAGGATTCCCTCTTTTTCTATTGATTGGAATAGTTTCAGAAGGAATGGTACCAGCTCTTCTTTGTACCTCTGGTAGAATTCGGCTATGAATCCGTTTGGTCCTGGACTTTTTTTAGTTGGTAGGCTTTTAATTATTGCCTCAATTTCAGAACCTGTTATTGGTCTATTCAGGGATTCAACTTCTTCCTGGTTTAGTCTTGGGAGGATGTATGTGTCCAGGAATTTATCCATTTCTTCTAGATTTTCTAGTTTATTTGTGTAGAGGTGTTTATAGTATTTTCTGAGGATAATTTGTATTTCTGTGGGATCACTGGTGATATCCCCTTTATCATTTTTTATTGTGTCTATTTGATTCTTCTCTCTTTTCTTCTTTATTAGTCTTGCTAGCCGTCTATCAATTTTGTTGATCTTTTCAGAAAACCAGCTCCTGGTTTCACTGATTTTTTGAAGGGTTTTTTGTGTCTCTATCTCCTTCAGTTCTGCTCTGATCTTAGTTATTTCTTGCCTTCTGCTAGCTTTTCAATTTGTTTGCTCTTGCTTCTCTAGTTCTTTTAATTGTGATGTTAGGGTGTCAATTTTAGATCTTTCCTGCTTTCTCTTGTGGGCATTTAGTGCTATAAATTTCCCTCACACACTGCTTTAAATGTGTCCCAGAGATTCTGGTATGTTGTGTCTTTGTTCTCATTGGTTTCAAAAAACATCTTTATTTCTTTTATTTCTGCCTTCATTTCGTTATGTACCCAGCAGTCATTCAGGAGCAGGTTGTTCAGTTTCCATGTAGTTGAACAATTTTAAGTGAGTTTCTTAATGCTGAGTTCTAGTTTGATTGCACTGTGGTCTGAGATACAGTTTGTTACAATTTCTGTTCTTTTACATTTGCTGAGGAGTGCTTTACTTCCAACTATGTGGTCAATTTTGGAATAAGTGTGTTGTGGTGCTGAGAAGAATGTATACTCTGTTGATTTGGGGTGGAGAGTTCTATAGATGTCTATTAGGTCTGCTTAGTGCAGAGCTGAGTTCAATTCCTGGATATCCTTGTTAACTTTCTGTCTCATTGATCTGTCTAATGTTGACAGTGGGGTGTTAAAGTCTCCCATTATTATTGTGCGGGACTCTAAGTCTCTTTGTAGGTCTCTAAGGGCTTGCTTTATGAATGTGGGTGCTCTGTATTGGGTGCATATATATTTAGTATAGTTAGCTCTTCTTGTTGAATTGATTCCTTTACCATTATGTAAAGGCCTTCTTTGTCTCTTTTGATCTTTGTTGGTTTAAAGTCTGTTGTATCAGAGACTAGGATTGCAACCCCTGCTTTTTTTTGTTTTCCATTTGCTTGGTAGATGTTCCTCCATCCCTTTATTTTAAGCCTATGTGTGTCTTTGCATGTGAAATGGGTCTCCTGAATACAGCACAGTGATGGGGCTTTACTCTTTATCCAATTTGCCAGTCTGTGTCTTTTAATTGGAGCATTTAGCCCATTTACATTTAAGGTTAATATTGTTATGTGTGAATTTGATCTTGTCATTATGATGTTAGCTGGTTATTTTGCTTGTTAGTTGATGCAGTTTCTTTCTAGCATTGATAGTCTTTACAATTTGGCATGTTTTTGCAGTGGCTCGTACAAGTTTTTCCTTTCCATGTTTAGTGCTTCCTTCAGGAGCTCTTGTAAGGCAGGCCTGGTGGTGACAAAATCTCTCAGCATTTGTTTGTTTGCAAAGGATTTTATTTCTCCTTCACTTATGAAGCTTAGTTTGGCTGGATATGAAATTCTGGGTTGAAAATTTTTTCCTTTAAGAATGTTGAATATTGGCCCCCATTCTTTCCTGGCTTGTAGAGTTTCTGCTGAGAAATCTGCTGTTAGTCTGATGGGCTTCCCTTTGTGGGTAACACAACCTTTCTCCCTGGCTGCCCTTAACATTTTTTCCTTCATTTCAACTTTGGTGAATCTGACAATCATGTGTCTTGGAGTTGCTCTTCTCAAGGAGTATCTTTGTGGTGTTCTCTGTATTTCCTGAATTTGAATGTTGGCCTGCCTTGCTAGGTTGGGGAAGTTCTCCTGGATAATATCCTGAAGAGTGTTTTCCAACTTGATTCCATTCTCCTCATCACTTTCAGGTACACCAATCAGACGTAGATTTGGTCTTTTCACGTGGTCCCATATTTCTTGGAGGTTTGTTCATTTCTTTTTACTCTTTTTTCTCTAAACTTCTCTTCTCACTTCATTTCATTCATTTGATCTTCAATCACTGATACCCTTTCTTCCACTTGATCAAATCGGCTACTGAAGCTTGTGCATGCGTCACGTAGTTCTCGTGCCATGGTTTTCAGCTCCATCAGGTCATTTAAGGTCTTCTCTACACTGTTTATTCCAGTTAGCCATTCATCTAATCTTTTTTCAAGGTTTTTAGCTTCTTTGCGATGGGTTCAAACATCCTCTTTTAGTTCAGAGAAGTTTGTTATTATTGATCGTCTAAAGACTTCTTCTCTAAACTCGTCAAAGTCATTCTCCATCCAGCTTTTTTCCATTGCTGGTGAGGAGCTGTGTTCCTTTGGAGGAGAAGAGGTGCTCTGAGTTTTAGAATTTTCAGCTTTTCTGCCCTGGTTTCTCCCCATCTTTGTGGTTTTATATACCTTTGGTCTTTGATGATGGTGAAGTACAGATGGGGTTTTGGTGTGGCTGCCCTTTCTGTTTGTTAGTTTTCCTTCTAACAGTCAGGACCCTCAGCTGCAGGTCTGTTTGAGTTTGGTGGAGGTCCACTCTAGACGCTGTTTGCCTGGGTATCACCAGTGGAAGCTGCAGAGCAGCAAATATTGCAGAATGGCAAATATTGCTGTCTGATCCTTCCTCTGGAAGCTTCATCTCAGAGGGGCACCTGGCTGTATGAAGTGTCAGTTGGCCCCTACTGGGAGGTGTCTCCCAGTAAGGCTACTCGGGGTTCAGGGACCCACTTGAGGAGGCAGTCTGTCAGTTCTCAGGTTTCAAACTGTGTGCTGGGAGAACTGCTACTCTCTTCAAAGCTGTCAGACAGGGATGTTTAATCCTGCAGAAGTTTCTGCTGCCTTTTCTTCAGCTATGCCCTGCCCGCAGAGGTGGAGTCTACAGAGGCAGGCAGGCCTCCTTGAACTGCAGTGGGCTCCACCCAGTTCGAGCTTCCCAGCCACTTTGTTTACCTACTCAAGCCTCAACAATGGCAGACGCCCCTCCCCCAGCCTTGCTACCACCTTGCAGTTCAATCTCAGACTGCTGTGCTAGCAGTGAGTGAGGCTCTGTGGGCGTGGGACCCTCCGTGCCAGGCACGGGATAAAATATCCTAGTGTGCTGTTTGCTTAGTTGGAAATACAGAAAACACCCGTCTTCTGTGTCGCTCATGCTGGGAGTTGTAGACTGGAGCTGTTCCTATTTGACCATCTTGGAACCTTTGTCCTATATTTAAGTTTTTAATCCATTCTGAGTCAATTTTTTTATAAGGTGTAAGGAAGGTGTCCAGTTTCAGTTTTCTGCATATGGCTAGACAGTTTTCCCTGCATCATTTACTGAATAGGAGATCTTTTCCCCATTGGTTGTTTTTGTCAGGTTCATCGAAGGTCAGATGGTTGTAGATGTGTGGTATTATTTCTGAGGTCTCTGTTCTGCTCCATTGGTCTATATGTCTGTTTTGGTACCAGTAACACGCTGTTTTGGTTACTGTAGTCTTCTAGTACAGTTTGAAGTCAGGTAGCATGATGCCTCCAGCTCTGTTCTTTTTGCTTAGGATGGTCTTGGCTATACATGGTCTTCTTTGCAGGAACATGGATAAAGGTCCTTTGCAGCAACATGGATAAAGCTGGAAGCCATCATCCTCAGCAAACTAACACAGGAACAGAAAACCAAACAGTGCATGTTCTGACTCATAAGTGGGAGTTGAATATTGAGAACCCATGGACACAAGGCAGGGAACAACACACACCAGAGCCTGTTGGGGGATGGGGGGTGAGTGGAGGGAACTTAGAAGATAGGTCAATAGGTGTAGCAAACCACCAAGGCACATGTATACCTCCATAACAAACCTGCACATTCTGCACACATATTGCATTTTTTTTAGAAGAAATAAAAATGAAAATTAAAAACAAACAAACAAAGTAAAAAAAGAAAGTACCAGCCTTATCTAATAGACCTGAAAACCTCACTGCAAGAATTTCATAATACACTCAGAAATATTAACAGCGGACTAGACCAAGCTGAGGGAAGAATGTCAGCGCTCAAAGACTGGCTTTTAGAATCAACTCAATCAAACAAAAAATGAAGAATAAATAATGAACAAAGCCTCTGAGAAATATGAGATTATGTAAAAAAACCAAACCTATGACTCCTTGGCATCCATGAAAGGGAGAAAGAAAGAGCAAGCAACTTGGAAATATATTTGAAGACAGTGTCCATAAAAGTTTACGCAAGCTCACTAGAGAGATCAACATTCAAATTCAGGAAATTTAGAGAAGCCTTGTGAAATACCCTACAAGACAACCATACCCAAGACACATATTCATCAGGTTCTTCAAGGTCAACATGAAAGAAAAAATATAAAAGGCAGCTAGAAAGAAGGGGCAGGTTACCTACAAAGCAAACCCCATCATGCTAACAGTGGACCTTTCAACTGAAACCCTGCAAGCCAGAAAAGACTGTGGACCTATATTCAGCATCCTTAAAGAAAATAAATTGCAACCAATAATTTCATATCCAACCAAACTAAGCTTCATAAATGAAGGTGAAATAAAATCCTTTTCAGACTAAGAAATGCTAAGGAATTTGCTACCACCACACCAGCCTTACAACAGGTCCTTAATGGAGAGCTGAATATGGAAACAAAAGAGTGTTACCAGCCACCACAAGGACACATAGATGAAAGACACATAGACAAGTACATAGACGATTGACACTATGAAATAACTGCACAATAAATTCTATATAACAACCAACTAGCATGAAAGGATGAAATACACACATATCAATATTAACCTTGAACATATATGGGCTAAACACCCCACTTAAATTTTAGAGTGGCAAGTTGTAGAAAGAAACAAGACCCAACTGTGTGCTGCCTTCAAGAAATCCATCTCATATGCAATGACACCCATAGACTCAAAATAAAGGGACAGAGAAAAATCTACTAAGCAAGTGAAAAACAAAAAAGAGCTTGGGTTGCTATTCTTATTTCAGAAAAAAACAGACTTTAAAGCATCAACAAGAAAAGAGAAGAAAGAAGGGAATTATGTAATGATAAACGGTTCAATTCAATAAGAAGACTTAACTATCCTAAATATATATATATACCCAACATGGGAGCCCCAGATTCATAAAACAAGTTCTTAGAGACCTACAAAGATAGTTAGATAACAATACAATAATAGTGGGAGATTTCAACACTCCACTGTCCAATATTAGACAGATCATTGAGCAAGAAAACTAATGAAGTTATTCAGAACCCAGATTTGACACTTAACCAAATGGACCTAATAGACATCTATAGAACACTTCATCCAACATCACCAGGATATACATTATTCTCCTCTGTACATGGCATATATTCTAAGATTGACTACACACTTGGCCACAAAGCAATTCTTTGCAACAAATTAAAAAGAATTAAACTCATACTAACCACACTGTCAGAACACAGTGCAATAAAAATAGAAAACAATGTCAAAGAGATCTCTCAAAACCATACAATTACATATAAATTTTAAAATATGCTCCTGAAAGACTTTTAAGTAAACAACATAATAAAGTAGAAACCATGAAATTATTCAAAACAGATGTAAACAAAGATATAACCTGCTAGAATCTCTGGTACACAGCTAAACCAGTGTTAAGGGGAAGTCTATAGCACTAAAAACTACATCCAAAATTAAACAGTTAAAAAGTCAAGCTAACAAACTAATATTACACCTAGAGGATCTAGAGTAAACAAGAGTAAACCAACTCTAAAGCTAGCAGAAGAAAATAAATAATCAAAATAAAACCTGAATGGAATAAAATTAAGGGACCAAAAATATACAACAAATCAACAAAACCAAAAGTTTTCTATCTGAAAAAATAAATAAGAATAATACATCCCTAGGTAGACTAATAATTAAAAAAAAGGAAACATTCCAAATCAACACAATCAGAAATGACAAAGGGGACATTACCACTAACCCATCAGAAATTGAGAAACCTCTCAAAGAGTATTGCAGACACCTCTATGCACACAAACTAGAAAACCTAAAAGAAATAGATAAGTTCCTGAAAATATTCAACCTCCCAATCTTGAAACAGAAAATAAAACACTGAGCAGAACAATATGAAGTTTGGAAATTAAATCAGTAACAAATAGCTGTCAACCAGGAAAAGGCCTAGGCCAGAAGGATTCACAGCCAAATTCTACCAGATATATTGTAAAAATCTGATACAAATCTATTTGGGGAATCTGAAACTATTCCCCCAAAAAAAGTTCAGGAGAAGGAACTCTCCTCTATAATCATTCTATGAGGCCAGCATCATTCTAACACCAGAATCTAGAAGCACCCCCCAAAAAATGAAAACTTCCTGCCAATATTTCTGATGAACATGGATGTGAAAATCCTCAACAAAATACTAGCAAACCAAATCCAGCATCACATCAAACAGCCAATCTATCATGACCAAGTAGGCTTTATTTTGGGGGTGCAAGGTTGATACAATACCCAAAAATCAATAACTATGATTCATAACATAAAGAGAAACCACACAATCATCTCAATAGATAGAGAAAAGGCTTTTGATAAAATTTAACATCTCTTCATGTTAAAAACACTCAACAAATTAAGCATCAAAAGAACATACCTCAAAATAATGAGTCATCTGTGACAAACCCCCAGCCAGCATCCTATTTAATGAGCAAAAGCTGGACACATTCCCCTTGAGAACCAGAACAAGATAAGTATGCCCACTCTCACCCTTTATTCACCGTAGTACTGGAAGTCCTAGCCAGACCAGTCAGGCAAGAGAAGGAACTAAAAGACATCCAAGTAAGAAGAGAGGAAGTAAAACTATTTCTCTTCGTTAATGATGTTTCTATGCCTAGAGAACCCCATAGTCTCTGCCCAAAGCCTTTTACATCTGATAAAAAAAAGGTTCAGCAAAGTTTCAAGATACAAAATAAATTTACAAAAATCAGTAGCATTTCTATACATCAATATGTCCAAACTGACAGCCAAATCAAGAATGTAATTTCATTCACAATAACTGAAAAAAGAATAAACTACCTAAGAACAGAGTTAACTAGAGAGGTAAAATGTCTCTACAAGGAGAACTATAAAACACTGCTTAAAGAAATCAGAGATGACACAAACAGAAAAATATTTCATACTCATGGATAGAAAGAATCAATATTGTTAAAGTGATTATACTGCCCAAAGCAATTTACAGATTCAATGTTATTCCTATCAAAATACCAACACATTTTTAACAGAATTAAAAAAAAAACTATTCTAAAATTCACGTAGAACTAAAAAGGAGCCCAATTAGACACAGTAATCTTAAACAAAAAGAACAAAGCCAGAGACATCACACTACCCAACTTTATATTATGCTGCAAGGCCACAGTAACCACAACAGCATGTTACTAGTACAAAAACAGACACATAGACCAATGGAACAGAATAGAGAACTTGGAAATAAAGCTCCATCTGCAGCCATCTTATTTTTGACAAAGTCAACAAAAATAAGCAATGGAGAAAGGACTCTATTCAATAAGTGGTTCTAGGATAGCTGGTTAGCCATATCCAGAAGATTGATACTGTTCCCCTTCCTTTCAGTATATACAAATATAAACTGAAGATGGGTTAAAGTCTTAAATGTAAAATCTAAAACTATAAAAATCCCTAAAAAAAACCCAGTAAATACCATTCTGGACATAGACCCTGGCAGAGACTTCATAACAAAGACTAAAAATACCATTCTGGACATAGGCCCTGGTAGAGACTTCATAACAAAGACTCCAAAAGGAGTGGCATCAAAACCATTTTTTTTTTTTTTTTGAGAGACAAGGTCTCACTCTGTCACTCAGGCTGGGGTGAGGTGGTGTAATAATTGCCCACTGCAGCCTCTGTAGCCTCTATCTCCTGGGCTCAAGCAATCCCCCCACTTCAGCCTTCTAAGTAGGCTGAAGGCATATGCCACAATGCCTGGCTAATTTTTATTTTCTGTGTGTGCTACAATGCCTGGCTATTTTTAAAATTTTTTAATAGGGACAGGGTATCTCTGTGTTCTTCAGGCTGGTCTTGAACTCCTGGGTTCAAGTGATCCTCAGACCTCGACCTCCTAAACTCTGGGATTACAGGCGTGAACTACTGTGCCTGGCCAAAGACAAAAAAATAGACAAGTTGTACCTAATTAAATGAAAGATCTTTTACATAGCAAGAGAAACTATCAACAGTGTAAACAGACACCCTACAGAATGGAAGAAAATATTTGCAAACTATGTATCTGACAAAGGTCTAACATCCAGAAACTATTAGAAACTCAAACAAATTAACCAGCAAAAACCGAACACCCTCATTAAAAACTGAGCAAAACTGTGAACTAACACTTCTCAAAAGATGACATACATGTGGCCAACAAACCTATGAAAAAATGTTCAAAATCTTTGATCATTATAGAAAGGCAAATAAGAACCACAATTAGATACCATCTCACACCAGGCAGAATGACAAACATTTCATGATGAAGATGCCAAAAGCAATTGCTACAAAAACAAAACTTGACAAATGGTATCTAATTAAACTTAAGAGCTTCTCCACAACAAAAGAAACTATCAACAGAGTGAACGAACAGACAATGTACAGAATGGGAGAATATATTTGCAAACTATGCATCTGACAAAGATCTAGCATCTATAAGGAACTTAAACCAATGTACAAGCAAAAAACAAACAACCCCATTAAAACATGGGCAAAAGACATTAACAAACACCTTTTAAAAGAAGAAATACACATGACATATCAAAATCACAATGAAATACTATCTCACTCCAGTCAGAATGGCTATTTTAAAAAGTCAAAAAAAATAACAGATGTTGGTGAGGTTGTGGAGAAAAGGGAATGCTTATACACCGCTAGTGGGAATGTAAATTAGTTCAGCCACTATGGAAAGCAGTTTAGAGATTGCTCAAACTTAAAACAGGATTACCATTGGGCCCAGAAATCCCATTATTGGCTCTATACCCAGAGAAATATAAATTGTTCTACCTTAAAGACTCTTGTAAACATGTGCTTATTACAGCACTCTTCACAATAACAAAGACTTGGAATCAACTTAAATGCTCGTCAGTGGTGGAGTAGGAAAAAAAAAAAAACTAGTATGTATACACCATGGAATAATAATCTGCCATAGAAAAGATGAAATCAAGTCCTTTGAGGCAACGTGAATGCAGCTAGAGGCCACTATGCTAAGTGAATTAATGCGGGTACAGAAAGCCAAATATTGCATGTTCTCACTTTTAAATGGGAGCTGAACACTGAGCAGGCATGGAAACAAGAGAACAACAGACACTGGGCCCTACTTGAGGTGGGGTGTGAAAGGAAGGTGAAGATTAAAAATCTCTCTATTGGATATTATGCTTATGACCTGCATGATGAAATCTGTACACTAATCCTCCATGACACACCATTTACACATGTAAGAAACCTGTACATTTACCCCCTGAATCTAAAACTTGTAAGAAAAAATGTAAAATTAAATTTAAAATTATGTGATATATATTTCCATATGGGGTTGAAAATCTTTGTAAAAATCTTTAATGGATATCTAAAATGCCATTCTGTATCTGTACCATGATTTAACACTTTTATATTGTTAATTATACTTTCTGGTATTCTGCTATGATAATATAATAAACATCTCTGTACATAAAAAGTATAAAAATAAAAATAAAAAAGGATGGAATGAATTACTTGAATAGAGACAAAAGGCAAAGATGAGTCTCTAGGTGATGTGAAGATAAATGAAATATTCACAGAATTCTGAGCACTTTCCTTTGAATAGATCATATTAAAGCAATGAAAATCGGTAAATTGTTAGACTCTCAGGTGGACAGTATGTCTAATACACTCATTTTGAATAATTCATTACCTGTGTATTTGCTTAAAATAGTGACTAGAATTGGTTATTGGTTGTATATAAGTTTACAGAATGGTGCATAAAAAGTCAGTGAGGCAATATCTCATTTTTCTTAATTGTATCTTTGTTATTTATATTATTCCTAATAATTGTTAATTTATGAAAAATTTAAAAAATATGTATCTGAAAATACTCAATCTACACATTTTATATTATACTCTATTGTACATCCTAAAGAAGAAATTATAGATACTTAAAACAAATATCCAGCACAATCCTGGATATATTATTGTTTACAGTAAAAAAGAAGGGTAGTGTTTAAGCACAACAGATTTTGGTGTTTTGTTAATTGTTTAATGTTATACCTCTTGGTAAAGTAACAGTGAAATCCTAAGAACTATTTACAATTTCTATATAAATGTACTATCATAAGCTTAGCCATACCCCTATTTAAACTTTGACTCTAGAGCCACCAATGTCTAACCGTAAATGTTCCTATCTCTCTAGTTCCAAGTAACAGTGACATATTTCCTAAAGTAGTATTAAAATATTGACCTTAAATGAAGCTCATTTAGTTATTGATTGATTAATTTTTATAGTAGTTTGATCAACCTTAAGACTATCACTTAAAAAAATCCACAATCCTTTTATTCAGTTTTTGTTGTCATGCTTATATGAGGTATTATATGTCTGTGAATGTTGGTATAGTAATTGAGTTTTCCACCTTTTTTTTCTGAAAACAATGCATCCATTTAAAGAGAATTCACTTGGCCTATGGAGCTAATGACTTTGAAAAGCATTGAAAAACAAAACTATTGACCAGAAAACTTTTTTTTCTGGATATGTTTTATGTGATAGAATTTACCTGATAAAATGAATGATCTTACAAACTACAAATCTGGAATCATTTCTACTTATTCACTATAGGGTTCTCTATGCTGTGTGTACACCACTATTTTTTAAAAAAATCTGTATAGGTCCTATTTACTTTGTTTCTCATAGGATTATTATTCTTTGCAAAAAACATTCTGTGAAAATTAGCAAAATGCTGTTAGCAATGAATTATCTAAAATAAGGAACAGTTGCAGAGAAAAAGACATTCACATACAGTCCTATTTTTATTGCCGTTTTTGTATAAAAATGGACATGCATTATGAATTCTTGATCCAGGTAAAACAGAGTAGGTATTATTTTTTCATATTTTGTTGGTAAGAAAACTGACTTCTTTATTTAAAGAGATATGGGTAGTATCATAAAGCTAGCAAATGAAAGATTGAGTTTAAATCAAAGCTTATGATTTTAGGTATTTTTGCAATAAGATATACATTGTTACTATGTAGGGCTTTTTTTTTTTTACAATACTAATACATGTTCCTTGATATATACCTTTCAATAGTGCCAGGGAGGTTAAAAAACAATTTGCTTCTTTTTGAAGAATATCTAAATAAAATAGATTGCTTTACTGTACTATTCATTTCTTCTTGCTTTTAAAAATGAATAGCAGCATTCCATGAGCTGAAAAAAGATCACTTGTATAAAAATGTTCAAAAAATTTCTAGAATAAAACTATTATAATGAATATTTATCCTAGAAATACATATTGTAGGTATATAAATTCATATATTTACTGTCTTGATTTCCTATTATATTGTTATAACTTTCTACTGCTGATATTTATTTGATTAATACTTCTTTTATCTTTAACTTTTTCAAACAACATACAGAAATGATTAGGGCTTGAATTTTCCTGTTTCCCTCTTTAGTAAGACAAGACTGCTTTCAAAATGAATGTTAAGCAAATCTGTGCTGAGTAGCATTATCTTTTCCTTGGGTGCTACCAAAAGTAAGAATCATTTTTCAACACTTTAAAAATGTTTAAAAACTAATTTTACTTTTATTCACTTTGGAATACTCATAGCTAACATTTATTTAAATCATACTATGTGCTGTATGTATGTGATAAGTACATAATCGGTTTAAATAAGTTATTTCAAATATGATAACTCTATGAGGATGTAAGGACATTTTTTGAGGTTATATATCAGATAAATGAACTTACTAATCAGATGGTTTAATCAAGGTATCCAAATTAATGGATTGGCCTATACCTCCTTCCCTCTATTTAAAGAGCAGTCAGTGGATTACAAAAAGTATCATCCAGCAGCATGCAGACATATCTTAGAAACACTGCAGGTTTGGTTCCAGATCACCACAATAAAGCCAATATCACAATAAAGCAAGTCATGTGGACTTTTTGGCTTCTCAGGGAGTAATGTTTAGACTATACTGTAATCTATTCAGCATGCAATAACATTATGTCTTAAAAATGTGTATACCTTAATTTAAAATACTTTTGTGCTAAAACATGCTAATAATCAATATAGCCTTCAGTGATTGTATGCATTTTGCTGGTAGAGGGTCTTGACTTGATGTTGAATGGTGCTGACTAATCAGGGTGGTGATTCCTCAAAGTTGGGGTAGCTTTGCAGATTTTTAAAAATAGGATGACAATGAAGTTTCCTGTATCAACTGACTCTCTTTTTTTTTTTTCACAAATAAAATTTTGGTAGCATGCAATGCTGTTTGATAGCATTCTACCTATAGCAGAACTTCTTTCAAAATTGGAGTCAGTCCTCACAAACCCTGCCACTGCTTTATCAACAAATTTTATGTAATATTTTAAATCATTTATTGTCATTTCAACAGTGCTCATAGCATCTTCACCAGGAAGAGGTTTCATCTCAAGAAACCACTTTCTTTGCTTATCCAAAATAAGTAATTTCTTATCCTTTAAAGTTTTATTCTCAGGTTGCACCAATTCAGTCACAGATTCCAATTCCATTTCTAATTTTAGTTCTCCTGCTGTTGCTACCACATCTGCAGTTACTTCCTCCACTGAAATCTTTAACTCCTCAAAGTCATTCATGAGACTTGAAGTCAATTTCTTCCAAACTCTTATGAGTGTTGATATTTTGATCTTCTATGAGTCATAAATATTCTTAATGACATCTAGAATGATGAATTCTTTCCATAAGGTTTTCAATTTACTTTGTGCAGATCCATCAGAGAAATTACTCTTTGTGGCAGCTATAGCCTTTCAAATGTATTTCCTAAATAATAAGACTTAACAGCCAAAAATCACTCTTTGATTCATGGGCTACAGAATGAATGTTGTGTTATCAGGAATGAAAACAACATTAATCTCCTTGTATATCTCCATAAGAGCTCTTGATTGACTAAGATCATTGTCAATGAGCAGTATTTTGAAAGGAATCTTTCTGTTTTATGTTTGTTTCCTGAGCAGTAGGTCTCAACAGCGGACTTAAAATATTCAGTAAACCATGATAAAATTGATGTGTTGTCATGCAGGCTTTGTTGTTCTATTTATATAGTACAAGCTGAGTAAATTTAGCATAATTCTTAAGGGCCATGGAATTATTGGCATGGTAGATGAGAACTGACTTCAACTTAAAGTCGCCAGCTGCATTAGCCCATAACAAAAGAGTCACATGTACTTTGAAGCTTTAAAGCCAGACATTGACTTCTTCACTCTACTTTGAAAATTCTATATGGCATCTTCTTCCATCAGAATAGTATTCCATCTTTAGAAAATCTATTGTTTAGGGTAGCCCTCTTCATCAATTATCTCAGATCTGAATAATTTGCTGCAGCCTCCACACCCACACTTGATGCTTCACTTTGTATTTCTATGTTATGAAGATGGCTTCGTAAACTTCACGAACCAACCTTTGTTACCTTTCAACTTTTCTTTTGCAGCTTGCTCAACTCTGTCAGTCCTCATAGAGTTGAAGAGAGTTAGGGCCCTTCTCTGTCTTAGGTTTTGGCTTAAGGGAATGTTGTGGCTGGTTTGGTCTTCTATCCAGACCCCTAAAGCTGTCTCCATATCAGCAATGAGGCTATTTCACATTCTTATCATTCACTTGTTCACTGGAGTAGCACTTTTAATTTTCTTCAAGAACTTTTCCTTTGCATTCAGAACTTGGTTAACTCTATGTAACAAGAGGCCTAGATTTAAAACTATATCGGCTTTCAACATAGCTTCCTCACTTAATTATTTCTAGTTGTTTATTTAAAGTTAGAGATGTGTAACTTTTTCTTTCGTTTGAACACTTATAGTCCATTGTAGCCTTATTGACCTAATTTTAGTACTTTTGTGTCTCAGGAATTAGGCAGGCTTGAGAAGTGAGAGAGAGATGGAAGAATGGCTGGATCATGGAACATTCAGAGCACACACAACATTTATCCATTAAGTTTTGCTGTCTTATATGGATGTGGTTTATGTCACCCAAAACGATTGCAGTAGTAATGTTAATAATCATTGATGATAGATCACTGTAAGAAATGTTATAGTAATAAAAATTTGAAACGGTGTAAGAATTACTAAAATGTGACACAGAAACATGAAGTAATAATACATGCTGTTGGGGAAATAGAGACAACAATAGACTTGCTTGACTCAGAGTTGCCATAAATCTTCAATGAAAAAAAATGCAATACCTGGGAAGCATAATAAAGTGAAGCACAATAAAACAAAGTAGGCCTTTATGTATCTTAAAAACTTGGTAGCTTATATGTGTTCTAAAAACTAGTGCAATATGACCTAAATGTATTCCTGGTAATTTTATGAAAATAGATACAATTTTGGTCTGTGAAACATAAGAACATCTGGTGTGCTAAATTGATATCATATATCTGGTGAAGAAGAAACCAAATATACAAGTATATTTGTCAGATAAATAATTTAATAAGTTTAAATGTAAATAAAATAAGAAAACACCCAATAGTAAATAAATATTTGTTTGAATGTTTTCAAGACGTTAGACTTTATTTTTTCATTTAAGTTCAATTTCATAATTAATTCTTTATTTCTTAAATGTTGGTATCAAGTTGTAGAAGAAGCTACATTACATTAAATGTAAATGAAAGGTATCAGAAATATTGGCATAATTTCTATAATTTTCTTGTGATTTAAATGACATTATAATGATACAGGGAATATAAAGCACTAACTTCAGTGACCTGTGGTAAGGGTAAAATGGCATATTTTTAGAAAATAAAGTGTTACAGACATTAGTTAAATAGTGAGAGCCACTGTCATGAAAAGGATAAATGTTGAGCAATGAAATTGATTAGAAAGAAGATATATTAACATTTTAAAAAGTTACTACAGAATAATGTTTTTATTTTTGATATTCTTGAAAAGTAGATACACAAAATATATTATAAAATGTAAGTGAATTATTGTAAATGACAAAATATACTAACTATAATTTATGCCAAAAAAGGAAGGGAAAGAGGCTAATATAGAATATACATTATATAGTATATATTAATATACTATATGTTATATGTTATATATAATGTATAACATATTATAGATATATACTAGATCCTAAATACCTATATTTGTATTTATTGTCCAATTAGTTCCTAGCAGACACTCACTTCTAGATATTACAACTAATTTGATAACTTCACATTAAAACACTTTTTAAAGCTTCAAAGTTGTCAATAAAATCCTTAGTGTGTGTGTGTATATACATCTATCATCCTCGGTATATATATCTATATATAAAAAAGTATCTATATATAGATATATATATCTATATACATAGATATATATAGTATATATGTCTATATATAAAAAAGGGTGTATATATACACCCACACTTTGTGTGTGTGTGCACATGTGAAAAGCATAGAAATGAATAAAGTAGGATGACAAAATTAAGTCCAAGGAAATGCAATACTTTTCATTTTTATAACAGGGTAAGCAGGTAGTCTGTCTAATAATCAATGAAATTAGGTTTTAAAAAGTCAATGTATGCTGTCTGTAATACACCTCCCAAACAGTGACACACTAATATAAATAGTAAAATAAAGTGTATTATATAAAATAAAATAATTATTATAATGAGTTTGGCAAATGATAGGCTAATGAAGTTAAATAAATTTTCATCAGGATCTCTCAGTCTTTGATATGCTAACGTAACCTTGATGGTCATAGAGGAGGGTGTATTATGTTGTAGTTTCCAAAGTGATTTAAGATAGGATATTTTTCCACAAAATTTTTTTAGAACAAATATTCCTTGAGCATGTTAGTAAAACCATATACTGGCCTGATATCCAACATCCATTTTAATATATGCCTACAAACTCCTAACCAAGTGACCTGTCCCCACACATTCTAGATTTTTTTTTTGAGGATTTACAAAGTGTTTTATAAAGAGACTCCTACATCACATTTTATGAATTTTATTAATCTGACTCTTTTTCATGTTCATTAGTTAGTGACTCCACAATATCCTGCTTTATACTATATATGTTTAAAGGCATGTTTCAAGTATCTACCTATCTAAACTGGCATTTAGGTTGACTTTCAGTTATGACTTATGATAACTGGCTAAGATGTATAAGACCTCCATTTCCTATTGAAATATAATCATCAACAATTTTCTTACAATTGTCATAATTGTGAATCATTTACAAATCTAAACAAGTCATATCTGGCCTGCTTTATACACGCTATTTTATGAAAAGAATCATTAAATGTAAGATTTTTATTTAAAAAATGCACAACATTTGTTTATATGTTTGAGTGTGATAGAAACTTGTATATATCCTCTAGCTATTTACACTTTAACAAGATTTTATGTTTTGAAATGCCCTAGTTTAATTTTTCATGTAATTTTTTGTCATGGTTTTATCTGGTATTACATTTGTGTCACAAAAAAAATCTTTGAAATCATTTTCACAACATTTTTAATGATTCAACTGTTTCATACCAAAAACTATTCTTTTCTTTTTGGTACATAGTAACATTTTATTATGTTATGTGTGCATTTTTATTAAATATTCTGAAACATAATTATCATCATTCACTTTGGTGATGTCAATATTGAACAATAATAAGAATGTAATGGGCTGTATTAAGAAGCCTATTATAAGCCCTCATGTATTATAATCTCTATTGTGACTTGATATCCATAAGTGTGGTTAGATTGTTTATGAAGAGTAAATAGCTAAGTAGTACTAAGTTTGTAACCTCGGAGATAAAAGTGATTATGTATGAGAAATAAGTAATTGAACATGAAACACACTGGTGGTTGCTGCTTTTTAGCTCCTTAGAAATGATTGCAAGTCCATTAGGTTCTGTAAGGCACTGAATTTCATGAGCAGTGTTAATGGCTTTGTACTGTAAGACATCCCTCGGTATTTCCAGTTATAGCAATAAAGTTTAGATGCTATTAAGGCTACACTTGATAAATCTGACTGGTGTCTGAGAAGAGTATAATGAAAGAGTAATTGTAAGGTAATGAAAGATAATTCTTTATAAGAAGTTCTACGAAGAACAAATTTGTGGATTGAATTGTAAATGATACTTTCAGTATGCAAATGACAAATATTAATTTTTTTGTAACTTTGAAGGAGATGTTTAAAAATATTAAATGTCAAGGCTATGCAAATATGCACATATGTGGCAATTAAAAATCAACCTAAACAAATTCTTGAAATGACAAATTTATTATTTCCAAATACATGATATATCATCACTACTACTTCTTCCAGAAAAGTTAAAACATTAGTTAAGAACTGCAAAAAATAAAACCTTTCCCTTCTACATTTTTGTTTTCATAACCATAAGTTAATATAGAGTAGAATCAAATTGAGTTTTAATCTCAATCAAAGCTAGAATGTACAATTAGAATATGTATTGTATATCATACTTTCAGGAGAGAAGAAAGGATGACATGGCCACTTTCACATTCCGGTCAATGGAGTGCTTTTAGTTATCACATTTTCTTATCAGAGCCTCCTTATTCTTTTGTGAGAGAATTACATAAAGTTTTCTTTACAGTTTTCTGAAACTGAGGACAGGCGCGGGGGCTCACTTCTGTAATCCCAGCACTTTGGGAGGCCGAGGCGGGCGGATCATGAGGTCAGGAGACCGAGACCATCCTGGCTAACATGGTGAAAACACGTCTCTACTAAAAATACAAAAAATTAGCCGGGCATTGTGGTGGGGGACTGTAGTCCCAGCTACTTGGGAGGCTGAGGCAGGAGAATGACATGAACCCGGGAGGTAGAGCTTGCAGTGAGACGAGGTCATGCCATTGCACTCCAGCCTGGGCGACAGAGTGAGACTCCGTCTCAAAAAAAAAAAAAAAAAAAGTTTGTGAAACTGAGACCCATTAATGGAACACAAAGAGTATTTGAACTCAAACAGGTCCTGATTACAGTGTGTATGTGTGGTGTGTGTGTATTTGTGATGTGTATAGGGGAGTTTATTTTCCTGAACAAAAGGCCCAGATGTCATCAATCTGAGTGAATTTATGATGTGATCTACACAAGCAGAAACAAAAATTTAAAAATATTGAACGAGTGCCTTTGCCTATAATTTCTGTTATCTGAGAGAGACTATTCTAAAATAGGTGCTTTATTAATTTTTAGTGATTAAAGTGTACATAGATATTTGTTTGTATGTGTGTTATTTTGGTATAATAACCGTATTTATTACTGAATGTGTACAGTTTAAAATAGAGAGAAATCAAGGCAATTATATAAATCACTTGCTCAGAGTCCTAAAAAATTGCTACTCAAAAAAATATTTTATTTATTTTTTTCTTGTGTTCAACTACACATGCTATAATATTTATCATTTTAACCATTACAAATGTACAGTTTAACAGCATCAAATATATTCACAGTGTTGTGTAACATGACTCTTATCTACCCCTAAAACATTTTCATCATCCCCAACAGAAACTCTGTATCTGCTAAAAAATGGTCCCCCATTCCCCTCTCCTTACAACTCTTGCTATCCTTCTTATATTAAGATATAAGATATCTTATCTCTGTGGTTTTGCCTATTTTTGGTACCTCATATAAGTAAAATCATGTAATATTTGTCCTTCTGTATTTATCTGGCTTATTATACCGAGCATAATGTTTTCAATGCCTATTCCTATTGTAGCTTATATCAAAATTTCATTTCATTTTCATGGCTGAGTTTTATTCTATTGCATGTGTATGTCACATTTTATTATCTATTTATCTATTAACAGACACTTAAGTTGTTTCCAACTTTTCACTATTGTGAATGATTTTCCCGTGAATATTTATTTACGAATGTCTGTTGTAGTACCTGCTTTTAGTTATTTGGGATATATAGGAGTTGAATTCCTGGATCATATGGTAGTTTTGTTTAGCCTTTTGAGAAACTACCAAACTGTTTTCCACAGCAGCAGCAGCATTTTACATTTCTACCAGCAATGCACAAAGGCTCTAATTTCTCAACATCTTCAGCAAGACTTATTATTCCCCCCCCACCTTTTTTTTATACTTATCCTGGTACGTATAAAGTGGTAGCTCATTGTGGTTTTGATTTACATTTTCTTCAATGACTAACAACATTGAGCATATTTCCATATATATATATATGTGTATATATATAATTTTATATTTTATAGCATTTATATACATATAAATGTTTAGTGGCCATTTGTATATCTTAATTGTAGAAATGTGTATTCAAATCTTTTGCCTATTTATTTATTTATCGTTGCTACTGTTAAATTGTTGGAGTTCTTTATATATTCTGGATGTTAATCTATTATCAATTACATGACCTGAAATTATTTTGTCCCATTTTGTAAGCTGTCTCTTCACTTTCTTGATCATATGTTTTGATGCACAAAAGTTTTTAATTTGAATGAACTACAGTTTATCCTGTTGTTGTTGTTGCCTGGGCTTTTGGTGCCATGGCTGTGAGATTGTTGCCAAATCCAAGGTCATAAAGATATTCCTTAATGTTTTATTCCAAGGTCCTCGTAGTTTTAGCTCTAAAATGTAGCTCTTTCATTCATTTTAAGCCGGTATTTGTATAAGGCTTAAGGTGAGGGTTCAGCTTTTTCTTCATTTTCATGTAGATATCCAGTTTTTCCAGCACCATTTGTTGAAAAGACAGTCCTCTCCTCATTAAGTGATCTTGGCACCCTTGTCAAAAATCAATTAGCAATATAGTTGAGGTTTTAGTTTTGAGCTTTCTATTTTATTCCATTGTTTTTTTCTTATGCTAGTACCATACTGTTTTAATCACTGTAGCTTTGTGGTAAGTTTCAAAGTTGGGAAGTGTGAGTCCTCCAAATTTATTATTCTTTTTCAAGATAGTTTTGATGATTTGGGGCTTATTAACTTTCCATATAAATGTAAGAATTGGTTTTTCCATTTTTTGGAAAAATGCTGCCTTTATAGGAATTGAGTTGAATCTGGTGATCAATTTCTATAGTATTAACACTTTAACAATGTTAAGTCTTCTTATGTATGAATATGGGATGTCTTTTTTTTTAACTTAAGTCTTATCTTATTTCTTTCTGCAATATTTTGTATAGGTTGGTGCAAAAGTAATTGTGGTTTTTGCCATTAAAAGTAATGGTCTAGTTAGTAATAGTTTTCAGTATGAAAGACTTTCACCTCCTTAGATAGGTTTATTCCTAAGTATTTAATTCTTTTAGATGCTATTGTGAATGGAATTCATTTCATAATTCCCTTTTCAGACTGTTTATTGCTATAGTACAAAAAACTCATTTTTCTGTGTCTATTTTGTACCCTGCAAACTTACTTAATTTGTTTATAAATAATAGCAGCTTTTTATGGATTCTTTGGATTCATTCCATCTATAAATAAAGATAGTTTTACCTCTTACGTTCTAATTTGGAAGTATTTTATTTTATTTTTCTTATTAAATAGCTCTAGGTAATACTTCCAGTACAAAAAAAAAAAAAAAAACTTCCAGTACAATGATGAATAGGATTAATAGGAGCACTGAAAGTCACCATTTTTGCCTTATTACTGATCTTAGGGGGAAATCTTTTAGTTTTCCACGAAGTATATTATTAGCTGAGTTTTTTTAAATAAAAACTCTTTATAAAGTTATTAAGTTGAGAAATTTTCCTTCTACTCTGAGTTTTGTGAGTAGTTTTTTAAAAAAATTATGACAGAGCATTAGAATTTTCAAAAACATTATGTGTCAATTGAGATGATTATGCTTTTTTTTTCCATTAGTTCTGCTAATATGTTATGTAGCATTGATTGAGTCTCTTACGTTCAACTATCCTTGCATTTGTGAGATAAATCCCTGTTGGTCATGGAGAATAATTGTTTAGCATGCTTTTGGATTCACTTTTCTAATATTTTGTTGAAGCTTATAATTTTCTCCTTTTTTATCCCTTCTTTTTTTATCTTCCTTCCTTCTTTTCCTCTTTCCTTCCCTTTCTTTCTTCCCTTCCCTTCTCCTTCCTTCCTTCCTTCCTTCCTTCTTTCCCTCTCTCTTTTTCTTTCTGTCTCATCTCTTTATCCAGCTTTGGCATGAGATGATGCTCTCCTCATAGAATAAATTAGGAATCTTCCTTTCTTCCTTCCTTCCTTCCTTCTCCCTCCCTCCCTCCTTTCCCTTCCCTTCTCTTCCCCTTCTCCTTCCCCTTCCCCTTTCTTTCCTTCTCTTCTTCTCTCCTTCTTTCTCTCTTTCCCTATTTCCCTCTTTCCCTCTTTCTCTCTTTCCCTTTCTTTCTTTCTTTCTTTCTTTCTTTCTTTCTTTCTTTCTTTCTTTCTCTCTCTTTCTTTCTTTCTTTCTTTCTTTCTTCTTTCTTTCTTTCTTTCTCTCTCTCTCTCTCTCTCTTTCTTTCTTTCTTTCTTTCCTGTCTGCCCACCTCAGGTGAATATCAACTTCTTTTTATTCTTTTGCAAAAGTTTGAGAAGGATTGATGTTAATTCTTTAAATATTAGGTAGATTTTATTGGTGAATGCATATCATCCAGGAAATTTCTTTGAGTTTTTTTATTGCTGATTTAATTTCATGGAACCAACCCAAATGCCCATCAATCAACAAACGGATAAAGAAATTTTGTTACATATATACATATGTATATGTGTGTGTGTGTGTGTATACACACACATATATATATATATACACTTATATATATATAGAAATACTACTCAGCATTAAAAAGGAATAAATTAACAGCATTTGCAGTGACCTGGATGAGATTGGGGACTTATTCTAAGTGAAGTAACTCAGGAATAGAAAATCAAACATTGTGTGTTCTCATAAGTGGAAGCTAAGCTATGAGGATACAAAGGCATAACAATGACACAATGGACTTTGGGGACTTGGGGGGAAAGGGAGGGAAGGTGGTAAGGGATGAAAGACCACAAATTGGGTGCATTGCATACTGCTCAGGTGATGGGTGCACCAAAATCTCACATGTAATCAAATACCACTTGTTCCCCAATAACTTATAGAAATAAAAAAATTAATTAAAAAATAAAAAAATGCATGGCCACATTAAATAATTTCAGGGTATGCAACACAATATTATTAACTATAGGCATTATACTGTATGGTAGATCTAAGACTTAATTATGTTGCATAACTGAAACTTTATACCCCTTGACTAATGACTCCCATTTCTTCCTTCCTTTGCCTTTAGCAACAATCATTTTACTTGTTTTTATGATTTTGAATATTTTAGTTTCCCCTATAAGTGGCATCTGGTAATATTTGTTCTTTTGTGTCTAGCTTATTTCATTTAGATTAAGTGTCATCCAAGTTTATCCATATGGTCACAAATGGCAAAATTTCCTTCTTTGTTAACATGGAATAATATTTCACTATATATATGTTCCACATTTTCTTTATTGATTCAACAGGCAATGGGCCTTAAGGTGCTTCCATGTTTTGGCAATTGTTAATAATTTTGCAATAAACATTGTAGAAACAAGGAGTGCAGAAATCTTTTTGAGAACCTCATTTCAATTATTTTGTGCGTATACCCAGAAGTAGAATTCCTAAATGATATGGTATTTCTATTTATAATTTTTTGAGAAACCTCCATATTGTTTTCCTTAGTGACTGTGCTAATTTATATCCCCACCAACAGCATACAAGGGCTCCCTTTCTTCATATTCTTGCCAGTGCTTATTCTTATTTTTTTAAATATTAGCCATCCTAAGATATGTAAGATGATATTCCATTGTGGTTTTGATTTGCATTTCACCGATAATAGGTGACATTCAGCACTTTTTACATGTACCTGTGGGCCATTTGTATATGTTCTTTGGAGAAACATGTATTCAATTCAGTTCCTTTGCCAATTTTTAAAATTGCTGTTGTCATCAACTGAGTTATTTGGGGAATTTTTTGCTATTGAGTTGAAATAGTTCCTTATATATTTTAGAGTTAACACTTTATCAGATGGTTTGCAAACATTTTCTCCCATTCTGTAGATTGTTTTTATTTTGTTGGTTGTTACCATTGCGAAACTGAAGGCTTCATTCACACTGCCTGATTTCGGAATATATTACAAAGCTACAGTAATCAAAATGTACTAGAATAAAAACAAATATATAGACCAATGAAACAGAATAGAGAGACCCCAGATAAACCCATGCATGTATGGTCAATTGATCTTCAACAAATATGTCAAGAATGCACAATAATGAAACGGCAGTTTTGTCAATAAGCTGTGTTGGAAAAACTGAATACTCATATGCAAATGAATAAAATTGGCCCCTTATCTTATACTACACACAAAATCTACACAAAACGAATTAAAGACTTAAACATAATACCTGAAACTGCTATATTCCTAGAAGAAAACATAAGGGAAAACTTCCTTTATATTGATTTTGGCAATAATGTTTTGGATGTGACCCAAAAGCACAGGCAACAAAAGCAAAAATAGACAAGTGGAAATATGTTAAACTATAATCTTCTGCATAGCAAAGAAAACATTCTCAGATTTATTTCTGAACCTGTGTCTTTTTCTGTGCATCTATGCAGGGAAAAGTTCATCACTTTTCAATTTCTACTCTACGTGCAATTGTTTTTGAAGTTTCAAAAAGAAAAGTGTAGTCCCTTTAATTTCCCTAGAAGCTGCTCAGACAGTGGGTGTTGAAACAATGTCAGCCATCTTCTGTGCTTTTATTTCTTCTTTCATCCCTAGTAGAACTAGAATACAGAATCCCAGTATGGAGGATAAGGTCTTTATTGCCTGCCCTAACTCCTGTAGCTGTTCCTGTGGGTTGTGGCCCCACAGCTGCCTGACTCAACACTAAGGAATGGGGGATGGATAGTTACTATCACGCTGGTATTTACTGATATTAGCGGTAATTTTACAGTCGAGCTTTCACTTGGAAGTTGCAAGCATTCAAGTAGACTTCAGAATTCCGCAACAATCACGTCAGATGGTTTCTGCCAGTATAATTAATGTCTAGGTGGAGAGACAGATTCCTGGCACTTCCTATTTTGTCGTTCTCTCTGATATTACTCACATGCACTTCTTTTTATGGAACTGACCCATGTTAATAAAATACTTCACCACCTGATCTTAGTTTATCCAAGTTGGTTATTCTATCTGTAAGCACCTTACTAAATATGGCCCGTTATTTCTTTATCTTGATTTTAAAATGGGGAGCCAACAGTTACATAGATAACACATGGTTCTTAGGAGAAGGAGGCGCCTTTATAGCAAATTGGACTACAGTGGGAGGGAGTGAAGCAAAAAGAATAAAAGACAATAGTTAGAGCAAGAGTTTTGGAAGCCTGAAAGTCAGTTTGTAGTTAATTCTGTTCCAATACTTTGTCTTTTCCCCTCCTTTTTGTCTCTGAGCCGATATATTCTCCCCTTCTCCCTCCCCCTTTTTAAACTATGTAAAAATATCTTTTGTCTGTTACAATATCTATTCATCAAGAATTCAATGTATCTTTTTTGTCCACTGACTATATGCATTGTATTTTAAGTTATCATGGTTTTCAATTCAGAGGACCGTTGTTAAAAATAACTTCCTTTCGTAATATAAAAATATTTACATATTTACTTTAATCACAAAAACTTGAGGGGATCCAGCTATGTAAAACTATTTTGTTTAAATTGAAGTTAAAAATATGTGAATTATGAGACTCAACTTTTAGAAATAATTAATAGAAAAAATTGAGTAACAGTATACTAATAGGCTGAACGCACTGAAAATTACTATTTAGCAGCATATGATTTGTGTCTTTGCTCTCATTTTGAATCCTAAAAATGATTATTAAATGCATAGTTTTAATATTTTCAGGATTTAATAGCTACCTGATGTCTCAGCAATTTTGCACTGTATTATATTTTCTATTAAAAAATGAATAACATTTTTCTTTTAGTGTGCCATTCAAATTCTATTAAGAGAATTTTGCTTTGGCCTCACTTGTCATTCTCCACTCTATTAATATCTAGTTCTTATTCATTTTACTTTTCAATGGTGTTTTATTTACATTTATTGTTGACTCTGAGTTATTGAGAAGCATAAAACAAAATGCAAAAATAATAATAGTGTGTTTTAGATAATTATAGTGAAGGCTACTCCTTGCAATAGACGTTTCAAACATACTTATGTAGAAATATTGAAATATTGTAACATTACAACAATATAACATAATTTTCTCATTAGCATTTTCTTTCTTTTTGATCACGTGCATAGATCACCAAATAGATTATAGGAAATCTTCCAGAAGTTACTTACACTGAATAACAACCATAGGTCGTTGGACTATAGCTCTCTTTCTGAAGACTGCTAAAAAGGTCTTTCTTTAATGGCAAACAGCTTTTACTAACTTCTTGTGATTCCAGAAATGCTAATCAGCAGTTCTAGTCGGCAGCACATTTATTACACCATGACATGCTGAAGACAGTCAGTTACAAATAGAACTGCCTCTTGAAAAATGCTGCTCCAGTGTTTTATAATAAAGTGCACCAATTAGATGCATTCATTAGGACAAACTGCTTGTCTTTTTCCATATTAGGGCTTTTAAAAAGGCACACTGTATTTCATAGTTCACTCTATTCTATATTATTATTAATTGAACAGGGCACATACAGAGTTTTAATCCAATAAATGTAAATACATAATGAGTATTGTTTCCTTCGTGACTGTCAGATCTACAAGAGCTCACTGTGTTTCATATCCAAGATACATAATGTGGAACAAGTCACTTTCTTTTTCAATGTTTTTCTGTATATTTGAGAAACCATTGCAATAAGCAACAACATTGGCTGATAATTTAAAGTTGTCACTTTATTTAAGAATTGATTAGAAGTCTCCTCTAAAATATATTCAAATTTTATTCAGAATAAAGATTCATAACCTTACACATATACACACATATATGTTGCCTTATAAACTTAACTTTCTCACATAACTTTATAGCTTGATATTAAAAAACTCCTGGGGGTAACTATTTCTAAAGGGAAAATGAAGTAATAAATGTGGAATATAGTCAATAATCTGTCTTTTTCAGGGTGAGAGGGAATGGGATTATTATACAACGCTGTGAATAGAATAGAACAAGTTGGTAGGGCTGCTTTTTCTGATGGCAAGAACATTATTTCTCAGTTTTCTTCTTGTACACAAAAACATGTAGTAGCTAGAAATACCCAGTTCTTCTCTAGAATGGATATAATTTGCATTAGGATGCTGACCTGAATTATAACTATTTCACCATTTAAATGCAGCAGCCTTCAAGATGGTAATACTCTTGGCCACTCACTTTTATCTATTCATAGTTCATACAGTTTATGTTTTTATGCATTACTGGAAAATGGAAACATTCAGCTCCATGAAGTTTTTGGATTGACCTCAAACTGGAATAAGAGAATAAAAAGAAAGCATGCCAGTTAATAGAAAAGAATAATACTCTCATTCCTAAATTTTTTCTCCAATATAGATGGTATACTCCAGAATGTATACCATCTAGATGTTCAGAGTGAAAAATCTACTTTTAAAAATATTAACAATAGTTTTGTTTTTATTTTTTGCTAGAAACTAACTTTGTTAGCTGGTGCCATTTGTTAATGCAGTATGTTTAACAAATTTCATTATCACCTCCCATTATTATAGAAAATTTCACTGTAGTCGCAAGCTCTAACATTTTTGATTATGAATAACAGTAAGAAGAATATGTGACCTATAAACATTAAAATTATGTAAATAATATCCAGGTTTTGTACTGAAGACATTTAACATTACTTATGGAATGGAATCCAGCATCACAATACATGGATTAAACAATTTGTATAAATATCAAACATAAACAGCTGGTATGGACATACTGGCTTTTACTGGCTAAATAGTAAAAAAAGAATATGTAAAACAAGTAAAAATTTTATGAAGTATATTTCTTCTATGTATTAAAAGTGTACACTGTTTTTTGGTACACTGTCTCCTATTTTATTCCAGTCTATTTCATATTGAAATGTTAGTCACAAACTAGTGCATTAAATCCATGATCCACTAAGAGTCTAGATCTGCAATTTGACAAACATTTCATTAGATAATATCATCATAACATTTAAAAATAAATATTTATAGCCCTTCTCTTTCCCAAGGTCATAGTGAAACTTTGGTCATAAATAATAACTCTCCCATCATCATCATGCACAAAATAGTTTTAAAATACTCTACAAATATTTAATGGGCCCCATCTAGACACTATGTGATTTGCTATTGTAGCAATCTTCATCAGAAAGATTAAGGACGTCTTTTTATGTATGTGTTTTGTTTATGATCTGCAAGTTATTGTAATATTTATTTATACCAGTAAAAAAACACTATCAAAATAATATACTTTAGTTCAACTGGACTCCAGAGTCTTATTTTTATGTTTCTTGGAATTTCAATATGTGATTAAGTATAATTGAAAGATATATTCTAAAATGGGCCAGAATGTTAGTCTTAGAAAATTTAAAACTTCTCACTCTTTAAATATGTTAAACATTATATGTGTTCTGTAGTTCTTTATATAGGTCCACATATTTAAGAGATGTTAAGATAAATAATGTTTTACTTGATATTTATATTCTTATTGTAGTATAAAATTTAATAATATTTAACTTGAAATTCTAAATTCTATAAGATTAAAAAAATTTTATTTTATTTTATTTTATTCATTTATTTATTTATTGAGACGGAGTCTTGCTCTGTCGCCCAGGCTGGAGTGCAGTGGCGCGATCTCGGTTCACTGCAAGCTCCGCTTCCTGGGTTCACACCATTCTCCTGCCTCAGCCTCCCCAGTAGCTGGGACTACAGGCGCCCGCCACCACGCCCGGCTAATTTTTTGTAATTTTAGTAGAGACGGGTTTCGCTGTGCTATCCAGGATGGTCTTGATCTCCTGACCTCGTGATCCGCCAGCCTCGGCCTCCCAAAGTGCTGGGATTACAGGTGTAAGCCACGGTGCCCTACCAAAACATTTTATTTTTAACACCTATGCAGTAGTTTGTAATATCATACTATGCTGATTTTTAAAAGTGCATTATTTGGAAGATAAATATTTATTTTTCTTCATGTGTGAACTTCGAAAATTTGAGACAGGTCTCAGTTAATTAAGAAAGTTTATTTTGCCAAGGTTGAGGATGTGCGCCCATGACAGAGTCTCAGGAAGCCCTGACAATATGTGCCCAAGGTGGTCATGGCACAGCTTAGTTTTATACATTTTAGGGAGACATGAGACATCAATCAATATATGTAAGAAGTACGTTGGTTCAGTCTGGAAAGGCAGGAAAACCTGAAGCAAAGGCAGAACTGGAGGCAATCAGGGAGGCTTCCTGTTCACAGATAGGTGAGAGAGGAGGGGCTGCATTCTTCTAAGTTTCTGATTGGCCTTTCCAAAGGAGGCAATCAGTTATACATCTATCTCAGTGAGCAGAGGGGTGACTTTGAATAGAATTGGAGGCAGGTTAGCCCTAAGCATTTCCCAGCTTGACTTTTCTATTTAGCTTAGTGATTTGGGGGCCACAAGATTTATTTTCCTTCACACATGTTAACAAATAAAGTTATGTGTCCACATAATTATGATCAAAAAAATCATGGTGACTAAAGAGCCATCATATATCTTTATATCTGAACATATTAGAACTATTGGAAGTAAAACCATGACATAACTGCTGTCACTTTGAATAAGTGAGACAAACAGAGTGCCAAACAACATCTCAATATCCTCTTATTTTTAGATATCTTTAACTTTATTCTTAGTGACATGAAGCCTTTGTCTGGACACTCGATAAAAATGACAGTTAAATTTCACATTACTATTATATGGTTTCTTGACATTGTATGTTATAGTACTAATTAAGGTTGTTTTGTCATTCTTCTTCAGAGGCACGTGTTACTTTATCATCAATGTGCAAAGAGCTCACAAAATGTTGTACAGTATATGAATGCTTAAATAGCAAATCCACAAAAGGTGCTATAAGACCGGGGGATGTTTTTAGTTTTTTATGGGAATTACAATGGATCTGATGCTTTAAAGTAATGCAAAAGCCATTTTCACCTAATACTAAATTAGAAGCCAAATAATACATTGACTAGTCCTCACAGGTCTGAGAAGCCAGTGTCGTGAGCACACCTAATAGAATGGCAGATGGACACTGGGCATAAAAAGCCTGGATCTCCATAGGGAGGGAGAGCGGGAATGGAAAGGAAGAAAGTAGTTCTTGACTAACAAAGAAAATACATGGCAGAAAACCCAAGAAAGCACAACCTTTGATAAAGATTGGATTCCTATACTTTATGCAAGGACAAAAACGGAACATGAATATTTCCTATGAAGAACAAAGAAGGCTTTAATATTGGAAATGACAGCCCAGAGAAGACAAATGGAGAAATATATAAGAGCATGAAAATACTATGCAAAAATAAAAAAGAGAAATATAAACTGGCTAAAATAGAAACTATTCACTTGGCTGTAGTGGCGTTGTAATGAGGAAAAATTGAACATTTATATAACAAGAATCTCAAATAATTTGTTTCATATAAATTTGCTTCACTTGACTGATAGTAAATTGGAAATCATTCTCACGTTTTGGTGAGTGTTCAGTAATGTGCTGCAAATCCTGTCGACACCTGACAACTGTAGGGACAAGCCTTCCTTGGCCATGGCAGATAGATGGATCTCCAGACCAGCTGTAACCTCTTTTACTTTGCTACAACTTCATATAAGATTCTGATGCCCAGAAAAAGCAAACTTGATAAAAAGCACTGCTGTCTGTTAAATATTTACTTTTATATAAAGATTTACAAGGAATTAGGCCAAATAAAAACACATTACAAAAATAATTTACACCAATGACACATCTGCCTCAATGATTGATACACTTAAGGGCAGTTTGTTTGAAAGAACCTTTACGATATACGACTTAAAGAATATATTTCATTTAAGTTCGTTTCAGTCTACATTTTTTACTGGTTTAAATGCAGCATGCCAAAAACACAAAATAAGTATATCAACGACAGGAGAAGTACCTTTAATATTTGTTAAAAATCCCTTTTTCTTTCTAACTCAAAACCCCGAGATTTAGTGAAAATCCTTAGGATTTTTTTGTCTTGTCTATTCATAATAATCTCCTTGTATATATAGCCTGACTCTCCAATAATCTTCACTGTTGTTATTTCTCTAAAATAAAAACTGGATCCTGTTTTTACTCTCTATCTCATGATTCCCTATGGAGTGAAGTTGTACAAGTGTCTTCATGAGTTTTCTCAACTATTTTACAGTCTTTTCTGTCAGAATGGCCACATCCCACCCTTTGGCCACCCATAACAATTTAATACTTTCTAAATATGCCATATTCAATCATGTCTATACAACTTTGCATGTTTTTAAATGTTCTCATTTTTCTGAAATGCGTTTTTGTAATTTTTCCCCCAAGAAACTGTTTTCTGTCCTTCAAGCCAATTGCTATGTGAAATTGTTACTTACTATTGTAATTATTGGTAACATATGTCTTCAGTCATTACATTATTCAAGGCAAGAAATGGGTTTAGTTCATTTTTATATTCCTATACATATTAAAACAGTCAATAATGTCTGGTTGACTCTAACTTATGGACTAACTAAATTTTCATTGCCTGCTTTTCTAGAAGTTTTTAACATTTTGATTGTGTTTAGAAATGCAAGGCATATGTATGATGGTAATCAATGTATTATCCCAAACACTCAAGCAAACCAATAAACAAAAAACACAAGCCTCTGAATGTCTATACACTAAGGGCAAAATTACTTTTGTTGGCTTGGTGTTATTTATGAGTTCCTTTTTAAACTCCCTTACTTTGAAAATATATGCAGCTTCAAACATTTATTTCAAAGTCTTCTGGAAATAATGAATTGCTTTGCATTGGAAACCACATTAATTTGTTTATTTCATCAGCAGTGAGGCAGCTGTTTTAGGTTGATGCTGTCAGTATTGACTATATCAAATTTGAGTTGATTTTTAAATTGATCACTTACCCAGTTACAAGCTAGCCTCAGGTCTTAAATTCTTACTCAGATTTATTAAAGTTACTTAGTGCTTAAAAAAAGGCATATTGCTCCCCATACTCTGTCAAATCCTTGTAACACTTTTTCTTTGGCATACTGATCAATTTGTTAATTCAGCACATTTTCTATGGGTAATTACAACACCACTCTTTTAACAATAGGAGAATCATAAGGATGAGGAATATTCATCTAGAGCATACTGTTTAAAAATAATCAGCCCCAAAGGAAAGTTATGCTTCTCCTCTATAAGCATATTTTTAAGACTGACATGTATAAATTTCTATGTTACAAGGTAGATGCATAAGCTTATCTTTTTCATGTGATGTCCATATTTGAACTTGGAATTTTTTATAAATTGATGTGTTTATATTTGATGTAAACTAACATTTTGGCTTATTTTACTTTTGGCTACCTTTTCCCTTGCCATTTTTCCACATTATACAATACAGAAAATTAATAAAAAACCTCTAGAATTTTAAAATTTTATATATAAAATAGCATATATATTATTCGAATTTAAATATAATATTTTTAAATTACATATGCAAATAATCTTTCACAGAGAAAAATGTCTTCAGCCTTTGCATTTATATGTTTAATTGTAACGTAACTTGTAAATGTGAAAATGTCCTTTTTTATAAATAGCCTGGTAATTTTTTTTTCTAATTTGATATATTTCTTTTTAACCTAAAAATCATCCCTTCAACTCCAAAAATTATCACCACATACTTACATGTAATTTTATAATATATGTATATATCATACCAAATGACATCTATCTCTTACCCATTTGCCTGGATGATCATGACTTTCCCTAAGACAGGAAATAGAAAAGAAGGAATGGGGTAGGACTAGATATAAAAAAAAGTATCAACTATTTCTGTTTTACAAATGTAGATCTTCACCTGCCTGTGACACAAATAAATGGATAGTTCTGAGAAAATTTATACATGTGTAAGTATCTCCATAGCTCAGAACTTTTCATAGGGTTGTTTTTTGTTTTTTAGGTTTTTTTTTTTTTGAAATAGATCGGAGCATGTGTAAAAGCCTGTGAGAATGAGTCATTAGAAAGCATGAGACTAAGACACAGAGAAGAGAGGAACCATTGTCAAAGTGAGGTTCTTGAGAAGAAAGCAAAGATGAAAATTACAACCTAGGGATAAAAAATTCGTCTGACAAGAAAGAGAATGATATTATATATTGTAATACATAAAAATAACAAATGTGCATGTGCAAGTAAATATCTTGCTCAGAGGTAGAATTTGAGGGGATTACTATGTTATTGCTCATAATTTCTTTTGGAGTAGAAAATGAGTTATTTTCTCAAAGGGGAGCTTTAAGTGAATATGGGAGATGTTTTGAAATAATCATAGTAAAGAAAAGAAAAGGAAAGGAAGGAAGCAAGGAAAGAGAGAAGGGAGGGAGGAAGGAAGGAAGTGGGGAGAGAAGAAGGGAAGGAAAAGGAAAGTAACAAAAGGAAGGAAGGGAAAATAAGAGCAGCATATATGGATCTGGAACATCACTCAGGGTCTGATGAATTTAGTGGTCATGAATTTAAAAAGGAACCAATCTGCATAATCAAATATCCTCTAACAAGGTAGACTTGCATTCTATAAGTATTTTTATTTAAGATCGTGTTTTTTTGTTTGTTTGTTTTTTGTTTTGTGGGTGTGTAAGATAGGATCTCACTCTTGTCTTCCAGCCTGAAGTGTGGTAGCTCCCTGTAACCTTGAATTCCTGGATTCAAGACCCCCAGCCTCAGCCTCCCTAGTAACTGAGACTACAGGTGCACACCACCAAGTCCAGCTAATGTTCTTTTTTTTTTCTTTTTCTTTTGTAGAGATGTAGTCTTGGAGTCTTACTACATTACCCAGGCTTGTCTTGAATTACTGGCCTCAAGTGATCCTCCCACTTTGGCCTTCTAAAGCAATGGGATTACAGGTATGAGCCACTGCCCTTGACCTAGATAGGTATGTTGTATGGACAATGTGATAAGGTAATTGAGTTCATCACATTTAAAATGATAGTCTATGACCTAGATATTGATTATTAAAAATATAGAGAGAACAGAGAGACTTAGAAAATAAAGTAGATATGCCAAAGTATTTAAAGAGAGGTTAATTATTTTTTTGGTATGAGGATATGTATAGACACTTGAATCCAGAATGCTACAGTAAGTATATCTCCTGATTTATATGGTTCAACTATGTAAAACTAATATGCCAAGTTTGAAATACCTGAAGCAAATTTGCCTACTCCTCTTGGAGTAAGAGTAATTTATATTTGTCTACCTTTGTGGATGCATGGAAGTAAGAGCAAATAACAGTCACATATAGCTTGTGCTATTGAAAATGGAAAGTAAATGTAGAAGCACATAGCTTCAGAATTCATGGCTGCATGTATTTTCCTATTGAATGTTTTATGTTTAATTCTTACTTCATTTAATGACTTTAGTTACAGCTTTTAGGCATCAACCACGCATCGTAATTTATTTTGTTAATAAGATATACAGTGGCATTAAACTTGATTAGAACTTTCCATCTTGAGGAAGACATGGTAATAGTGTTATTGCATACAGCCACTGTATGATAGCACTTGTTTCCTGTGTGTGTGTGCATGCGCACATGTGCATATATAAGTAATTTTCCCTTCATTGCTTTATTACAGGCTACTATCTTAATGCAAGGATTTAGGAAAGACATATTTTCAAAGTTGGTATTTGAAACTTCTATGAAACATAGTTGTCTAAAATAATGTTTACTTTATCTATCTCTCTTGAAACTCATAAAAAAGACACAACAAATCTGAAAGAAAAACATCCCTAAAACATATAAACAGCTAAAGAGACTCTAAGCTATAGAGATATTTGCCTAATCCTGAGATAGTTACAATAAAATATAAAAAGATGGGTCAAAACAAAACAAAGTACACAAATATGAAAATAATGTAAAAACAACAAGATGCACATAATTTTAGAAATCATCATTATTCATAGAAAGTCCATCTTCAATTCCACTGATTAGAATGGTGTGTTTTATGATTCTGGTCAGATTATAAAATATAACATGATAGAGAAAAGAAGACAAAGCAAAAGCATACACCATTCTTAAACGTAGTTTCTGCCATCCTAGTATGCCTGCCAAAAATTTAAATTAAAAAAAAAAAAGAAGGCCACGCAGTGACTTCCAGGAAAAACAAAGCGATCTAGTGCTTTCCTGTGAGCAGCACCAACTTTTGAAATGTCCTCTTGCTAAGCTAAGGCGATAACACATGTAATCGGAAAGCATTTCAAACAGCAAACAGAAATCTTTTGTGGGCACTTCTCAGCTCTTTTCCTCTTAAACGCTCCTTAAAAAATCTTTTCAGGAAATTGTTGACTGTATTTACATAAAAGTAATATTCTCCAAGATATAATTATATATACTGTACAAAAGTTAAAGAACTTATATAACGGAAAGAGTTTTTAAAGAAACTAGTAATTCCAATACCTCAAAAAAATTATGAATAGCATGGTATTACTAAGCAAAACAGTATAGAAAATAGCAATGGCTCAATGATGAGGCTTGTTTTTAAAGAAAAAATATACAAGTTGACAGAGCTTAGTAAAGAAATAAAAGAGAATAATAAAAAGAGTATTAGTATACATGTTAACATAAGATTGAAAGCCAAAAGAAACCAACTTAATGTTTAAAATATCTATTGAAAACCATGCTAAATATTGGAGAGAGACCAGAAGATATGAATAAAAATAAAAATAAAACTGTAGAACTAGAATGCAAACAAAGGAGTTCCAGCATGCACAAAATTAATAGTTCCGAGAAAGAGAGAGAAAAAAATAAAATTGAAAAGAAAACAATCAGAGAAAGGAAGTTTTGTAAAAAAGATGCAAACATTACAATACAAAAAGCCTATCTTCAACCCACGTTTATATCATTGATAGAGGGAGGGAACAAAAGTGTTATTAGCTTGATCCCATATTTCTCCATAGGAACACTAAATATCAGAATTCAGAGAAGCAATATCTATAATGTTATGAAGGAAATAAATAATACTGTTTTATGAATTTTAGCTCAATCTAATTTTTGCTTCAATATAAAGAGAGTATGCAAGATTAAAGGGATTCAGTTTAGAAATATTAATCTAGGGTTTTTACATGTAGGCATAATTGAAATTTTCCTCAAATTTTCTTTGAGTGTAGGAAATATTTTTGATAATTAAAACTTATACTGTGTGAGAATGTAAGTAAAAAAAGCTTATACACAGCAGAGAAAACAATCATCAAAATGAAAAGGCAGCCTATCGACTGGAAGAAAACATTTGCAAACTGTATCTCTGATAAGGGGTTAATATCCAAAATATACACGTAACTCACAGAACTCCACAGCACAAAAATAATAACCCAAACTAAAAAATGGGCAAAGAAACTGAAAAGACATTTTTCCAAAGAAGACATACAAATCACCAACAGATATATGAAAATGTGCTCAATAGCACTAATCATCAGAGAAATGCAAATTAAAACCACAATGAGACATCACCTCACAACTATTAAAATGGCTACTATGAAAGAAACAAAAGATAGTAAGTGTTGGTGAGGGTGTGGAGGAAAGGGAACCCTTGCACATTGTTGAAATTCAGTCATTACAAAAAGCAGTATGGAGGTTCCTCAAGAAGTTATAAATGGAGCTGCCATATAACCCAACAATGTCTCTGCCGGGTACATAGCCAAAGGAAATGAAATCAGCACCTCATAGAGATATTTGCACTAGCATGTTCACTGCAATATTATTCACAATAGCCAGTGATAATAGCAAAATAATCAATACTTTATGGAAAACTAATTGGTCATCAATGGATGCATGGATAAAGAAATTGTGAATTTGATATACAAGGCAATATTAGCCTTATAAAAAAGAAATAATACCATTTACAAAACACGAAAGAACCTTTAGACATTATTCTAAGTGAAATAAGTCAGACAAAAAAAGAAAAATACTGCATGATCTCACTTGTATGTGACATCTAAAAAATTTTCAAATACATAGAAACAATAGAATGGTAGTTTCTAGGGGCAGGGAGAAGCAGGAAAGAGAGAAATGTAGGTAAAAGAGAACTAACTTGGAGTTATATAGGATGAGTAAGTCTAGAGAGTCAATGTACTGCAGGAGACTGTAGTTAATAGTCCTTAGTTGCTTATGAAAATATTGCCTAGTAAATTGATTTTAGGTGCTCTTACCACTGACAAACAAAAAAGCAGTAGCTACAAAAGACTATGGATATGTTAATTTGCTTTCCTGTAGTAATTATCTTACAATACCTATGTATACTGAACATCATGTGCTATACTTGAAATATATACAATACTTTTTTTAATGAAGGCACATGTATGAAAAAATAACAGATTGGATAGTTTTTTCCTCCATATTCAAAAATACACCCATAACCTAAACCACAGAATCTCACTTCTGAATATAAATCATAAAGAAACTCTTGTGTAAGGGAATGATTATCCATGTTTAAAAATATTTATTGTATAATTTCTAAAAGAGAAGAATATTAAAATACCCAGGGGTCAATAAGACAAAGCAAATAAAATTGATAATTTTTTAAAATAAAATGTTCTATATATTTTTAAATAATTAAATTTAAACTACCAGTATCAACATAGATACATTTCCAAAACATATAAAAGGAAAAAAATGTGGCAGTATATTAACATCAGTTGGAAATAAAAATATTATTTAACAATTAAAAAGTGAGAAAATTTAACAGTTTAGGACAGAGTAAATTGTATTGTTCATAATTATAATATTCTGTATAGTGCAGTAATTTTAAGTGTTATTAAAATTTTTATTATATTATGGAAATATATATATTACCATAAGCCCTCCTGTTTATATCAATATGTATTTGTCTATATTTATTATACGTAAGACACTAAATTGACCTAACATGTAACTACAGTTTTTTTAAATGATCTAGTAGTGCTAGAAAAATAATCAATACTTTACAGATTTTTAATTTTTTATGGTGTTGTGTTGCTTCAAAGTAAATCTGAATATATCTATAACAATTAAAATAACACATTAGGATAAAAGTGTAGGAATTAAGTGTACTATGACATACAGAAGAAAATATCAAAAGAATCTATACAAGTAATAACTGCAAATATTCATCAGGAAGGTTTTTAATTGCAGTTGATAATTAATATTAATATAGTAATGTTCAAGTAAAAATATTCATGTGTTTCTTGAGTTTCATTAATCATATGGTAAATCATAAGAATGATATAATTGCTTGTAAGTTAGAGATTACATCTGTATTTGCTTTTTCAACTTAATTTGATTTGTACTAAATATGTATTGTTGTTAGCTGATTGGAATTAATATTAGTCCATTAATACTCATAAATAAATACAACAAAATATTGAAATTTATACATTTTTAAGTGATTTTTAGAAGATAATTTTGGATGAAGAAGAAATATTTGTCAATTAGAATGTGATTTAATAACATTTAGGATGAACTTATACTAAACAACCCATATCTTATGTTACTATATTTTGTGACAAAATACAGCTATAATTATGAAAATTAAACTTGATTTTATTGTTAATAGAAGGGAATTCACTCTTAATTATAAAAGCTCAACAAAAGAAATGTTTTTCATTGACATGTCTACATAAATTACTACTTGTTTTAACTTTATATGTAATCTGATTTATTCAAGTCTATAAACCTGTCCTACAACACAAATGCACATGTTTATGCAAGCAAATATAAACTTAATTTAAAAACTGTTCATTGTAAATATGTTAATTTAATATTTTTATAATACATAAATATAAAGCTAAGCTATGAAAATACTAAGATATGGGCTGATATACAGTGAAAAAACAACCAGAAAAAGTGAATCCTAAAATTGAATAACTGAAATTTAAATGTAACTCAAAATCATATGTTGCCTGGTTTCTCAGATTTTTTTAAATCTCTCAAATTTTTATTTCTTTTGAAAACTTACTAAAATATCCATAAATAGAGCATCTTTCTATTTCTTCTCTAGTGTTCTCATGACTACTGAGATTTTTTTCTATGATATAATCAATGGAGTTTAGTATCTGTGTTCACAAAATGTACTTAGCATTATATTTTTGCTTTAATTAACATTGACTTGAAACAGAGTATCATTACTAGTGTGAAAATCTAGATGATAATTTATAACACAATAAATGTTTTATGCCCTATGGAATAAACAAAACTTCAACCTTTTAGAAGCTTTGAAATACCAAATAGCAAATAAGCTTTGAATATCAAATAAGTATCATTATTAGTGTGAAAATCTAGATGACAATTTATAACACAGTAAATGTTTTATACCCTACAGAATAAACAAAACTTCAACCTTTTAGAAGCTTTGAAATACCAAATAAGAGTAACAGAGATCATTGATAATTATTTTAGTACATAAAAATAGGCAATATTGACATATAAGCAATATACTTGAAGTGTACTATCATGGAATTATCAAGTCAGGGTTTTCAGACACATATATATCTTCTTTATTCTTTCATTTTCTCCGTACAGTCTAATCTATCAAACACAATCCTTAAGCCTTATATTCTACCTAAAGACTTTCCTGATAACTTTCAATTCATTATTTTTTCTCTTCTCTGTTCATGATTTTATTTTTCAAAATTTTGGGGTACATATTTATGTGGATGAGATAAACAGCATTTAATAAAGTTCCTCAGAAATAATAATAGTGAAGAGGAACAAGTTAGATTAGGATGCTTTCAGATACAAATAGCAATACTCTTTAGCAAATATTTTTAAAATAGGCAAATTTTACTAGTTCATACAAGAGAGAGTCCTAATGGAGGGTAGCTCCAGAGTTCTTTAATGCAAAGCTTTAGTCAAGGGTCCACCTGTGTTTGTTATGCTCTTCTGCCTGTTGGTTCATTAGACTGGCTCTACTCATGATTTCTAAACAAACTGCAAAAGTTTTCCATGTCTTTACTTAAATCCTTTTAAGTCTTTCTTTTCACATCAAGAGCTTTTCCTCTAGTACCCATCATCTATAGGGAAATTGTTTGTTTGGGGTAATCAGTATTCACCCCGGGAAATTTAACACCAATCAGAGTGACTCTGAGGTAAAGCTTAAAATAGCTCCTTGGAATATAAATAAATTTTACTGCTCACTTTTGTCTTTTACTTTGCTTTTCATTTCAAAGTTGAGAGTAATTTATGTCAAAGGAGGAAGTGGCTTTGACAAATAAACACCTAATTTAACTGCTGAAGTATATGGAGTTAACCTTGCTCAAGGAGACTAATTTGTTTGCAATCAGAGATTTAAGTCTCTCAGAGTCCTGATGTCTAAACATCAACATCAATAAATAAACTGTCAATTATTAATAGTATATTGGCTACTGCCAAGGTAAGTAGCTTAGAGATTTTAGCCTCTTATATCTTAAAACAAGCCTTGTTCCTTTCTAACATTATTCTTAAATCCACTGGACAGAGTACCCTTAAACCGTTCTAGGAAATACAAATGTCACCAAAGTTGCACTTTTTCTCCCTAAGATCTCTATTCACTGCTATTCATATCAAAACTCCTAGTTTTTGATGATCACTGATCTCAGTTGAAAGTTAAACTTAAAAATTCTCTAAAAGATGTCTCTGATTGGTCATTCATATTTTAATGCATATTAAATATAATGCCATCTAATTGGTGTCATTGGAGGAAGAGATATCTGTAGAAGGGATTCCCTTCAATGCTTACTAATAGCTGTTTTAAGAGCTAGAGCAAGATTGTTTGAGCTCTGCTGGAAATGTATGTTACATTAATCCTAGATTCTTCAGATTCTAGTTGACAAAGACAAAAAACTATTTTCAACAAAATTTAGATAAAATTTACTTTCACATTTGTTTTAAAAAGTTAAAAGTTATGTATATAACTACAAGGCTACAGTAACCAAAACAGCATGGTACTGGTACCAAAACAGAGAGATAGACCAATGGAACAGAACAGAGCCCTCAGAAATAATACCACACATCTACAACTATCTGATCTTTGACAAACCTGACAAAAACAAGAAATGGGGAAAGGATTCCCTATTTAACAAATGGTGCTGGGAAAACTGGCTAGCCATATGTAGAAAGCTGAAACTGGATCCCTTCCTTACACCTTATACAAAAATTAATTCAAGATGGATTAAAGACTTACATGTTAGACCTAAAACCATAAAAACCCTAGAAGAAAACCTAGGCAATACTATTCAGGACATAGGCATGAGCAAGGACTTCATGTCTAAAACACCAAGAGTAATGGCAACAAAAGCCAAAATTGACAAATGGGATCTAATTAAACTAAAGAGCTTCTGCACAGCAAAAGAAACTACCATCAGAGTGAACAGGCAACCTACAGAATGGGAGAAAATTTTTGCAATCTACTCATCTGACAAAGGGCTAATATCCAGAATCTACAATGAACTCAAACAAATTTACAAGAAAAAAACAACCCCATCAAAAAGTGGGCGAAGGACATGAACAGACACTTCTCAAAAGAAGACATTTATGCAGCTAAAAAACACATGAAAAAATGCTCACCATCACTGGCCATCAGAGAAATGCAAATCAAAACCACAATGAGATACCATCTCACACCAGTTAGAATAGCAATCATTAAAAAGTCAGGAAACAACAGATGCTGGAGAGGATGTGGAGAAATAGGAACATTTTTACACTGTTGGTGGGACTGTAAACTAGTTCAACCATTGTGGAAGACAGTGTGGCCATTCCTCAAGGATCTAGAACTAGAAATACCATTTGACCCAGCCATCCCATTAATGGGTATATACCCAAAGGACTATAAATCATGCTCCTATAAAGACACATGCACACATATGTTTATTGTGGCACTATTCACAATAGCAAAGACATGGAACCAACCCAAATGTCCAACAATGATAGACTGGATTAAGAAAATGTGGTACATATACACCATGAAATACTATGCAGCCATAAAAAATGATGAGTTTTGTCCTTTGTAGGGACATGGATGAAGCTGGAAACCATCATTCTCAGTAAACTATCACAAGGACAAAAAACAAACACTGCATGTTCTCACTCATAGGTGGGAATTGAACAATGAGAACACTTGGATGCAGGAAGGGGAACATCACACACCGGGGCCTGTTGTGGGGTTGGGGGAGTGGGGAGGGATAGCATTAGGATATATACTTAATGTAAATGACAAGTTAATGGGTGCAGCACACCAACATGGCACATGTATACAAATGTAACAAACCTGCAAGTTGTGCACACGTACCCCAGAACTTAAAGTATAATAAAAAATATATATTAAAACGTTATGTATATATGAAACTTTATATATAAACAGCATTTATATATAAAGCATATATATATATGCACTTAATATATAAAATCCAGGAATCATAATTTAATACAAATGGAAAGAACAGAGAATAAGACTAACAATTAGTAAAATTTGCTTTTTATTACTGACATTGCATGTGGAAATGATGGCATCCATATTCTGGATAGGTGGGGAAATATATGAAAAATATCAGGAAGAATATGATCACATTCAGAGGGTCCATTCTCTTGATTAGATGCCTGTTTTACTCCTTGACATGCTCACATTAGCAGGTTGTTATCACCCTTGTTCTTAATTTTGGCTCTCAGTCATTGATGCAGCATTTATATCACTTTAGATAGATTTTATAGCCCATTTCCTTTTTGGCTATGGCTTTTGCCAAGCCAGAGACATGTTAATAGAGGCGGAAAAACCTGTAATTAATCTTAATTGTAGACCTAATATTTAGATATTACCTGTTTTAACCTCAAGCTCTTAAGATTTACTTTCTTATTTACAGGCACAAGTTATAGTAAAATTCATTGTTAACAAGAGCCAGAAAAACACTTTCCCTCCCATCCTCCTCAGCAGTTACCTTAAATCCTTGATTACTTCACCAAGGAAGAAATACACAGAATTTTAAGTGACTTCCACAGCGACTGTTTTACCCCTGTTGTTACATTAAAAGTAATTCCTTACCCAATGGGACACATTAAAACAAAATATCATCCCCTGAAGAATGTTTAGAGTATTATTTTGCATTTAATTCCTTATGTGATCATTTAGAATCTCAGTGAAGATTTGTGAACTCTTTGAAGTCAGGCTTCACATAATTTTAAAATTGTGGTATTTGCTTTAGCATCCTCTCTAACATTAAATAAGCATACTTTAAATCTCATTACACTTTTCTTTCAATAATTGAAATGATAATAACAATGATTATTTTGTGATGGCAAGAGATCCATATACTCTGCCAATTGCCATTTAAATGAGATCTGGCATACCATTTGACCCAGCCATCCCATTAATGGGTATATACCCAAAGGACTATAAATCATGCTTCTATAAAGACACATGCACACATATGTTTATTGTGGCACTATTGACAATAGCAAAGACATGGAACCAACCCAAATGTCTAACAATTATAGACTGGATTAAGAAAATGTGGCACATATACACCACGGAATACACAATTTTCAATATATGTGTAATATAATATTCCTTACAATAGGAAGAAAAGCCTTTAAGTTCTTTATCCTATTATGATTGAATGTTTCCAGTGTTAACATTTAGCCTACATCTATCTATGGGTATTTTAAGGTAATTGATTAGAAGATGACAGATATCAATACATCCTTTATCAATAGTGTAACAATTTTTGTGAAAGTCAGTGCAAAAATATAGATTAAATGATCCAGTACTTTTGCAATTGAGACTGGATAAAATATTCTTGAATTATTTTTAGGAATTATTCATGCAAAGTATTTTCCTCAGCAGACATTTGGTTGATTGGCCAACACTAGCATTATGTTTAAAGACTTTCTAAATGAAATTAGACTGTCCATTCAGATACTGGCTTAACAGGGAACAGGTCTAGGCAATCGTTTGGCTTGGACCATGTACAAAACTAATTGGATCACTGTTCAATACCATGTCTCAGGAAATCGCTGGGTACATAAGGAGTGGATATTCACCACAGCAGAATTAAGAAAGGTACAAAAAAAAAAAAAAAAAACAATACCCCCTGATATTCGGTAGATGGGCCGGCACTTATATTTTAGCCATGCTATTTTTCTATTTCATATAAACTATCTCAAACAGCGTCAGCCTCAGGCAAATTTGCTCTGACACAAGGATAAAATGAGACAAATAGGGGCCATTGCATATTTTCATGTAACAATGAAAACAAGATTATCATAAACCCTCCAAAATTAAAAATACCACCCCCTCCTTGGCAAAATGAATGACTGCTATTTCTTTTTTTTCTTTTTTTGAGACAGAGTTTCACTCTTGTTGCCCAGGCTGGAATGCAATGGCGTGATCTCGGCTCACCGCAACCTACGCCTCTTGGGTTCAAGCAATTCTCCTGCCTCAGCCTCCCGAGTAGCCGGGATTACAGGCATGCACCCAGCTAATTTTTATGGTTTTAGTAGAGACAGGTTTTCTCCATGTTGATCAGGCTGGTCTCGAACTCCCGACCTCAGGTGATCTGCCCCCCTAGGCCTCCCAAAATGCTGGCATTACAGGTGTGAACAACTGTGCCCAGCCCCGACTGCTATTTCTTAACTAATTACAGCTTAATTCTTGTTCTCGTCTCCGATTTCTGTGGATAAGATTTATTGTGATGGCCTATCACAGAATTGTCCCCTCTTTCTGATAGCATCCAATCTAGAGTAAACCCTTGCTTTTCTAGACTCTCCCCAAATTTACACAACAGCCCCTAAATCCTATAATAGCTTCTTTCTAACGCTTTCTTACTTAGACACCCCTTGGTTCATCACAGTATGTGTTATCTGTCACATGATAAATCCAATTTATTTAACTACTGGCGTGTTTCTGGTGGTCAGATATTTCTCATGGGTGAGAATGACAGGCTCAATAATGTCCCCCACTGCCCTCCGCCACCATGCCCGTGTCGAATTTTAATCCTTGGAAATTGTGATTATGTTACCTTACACTTTAAAAGGGATTTAAAAGACATAACTAAGGTTATGGACTTTCATATAAGGAGAATATCCTGGATTATCTATGTGACCCCAGTCTAATCACATGAGCCTTTTAAAACTGAGCATTTTCTCTGGCTGGAGTCAAAAGAGGTGTAGCAAAAGAAGTCACAGTGGTTACAAATATGAAAGAGATGTAACCTGCTGGACATGGGCCACAGACGAAGCATGAGAATAAATGTGGCAGCTCGTAGGAGCAAAGGTTGGACTCTACCTAACCACTGGCATTAAAATGGGGTCCTATGAGCACAAGAAGAAGCTGAATTCAGCCAGCAACCTAAATGACCTTGGCTGTGAATCTAGAACCTCCTAAAAGGGACACAGCTTTGCTGACATTTTGATTGCAGCTGAATGATACTCTAAGCAGAGTACACAGTTGTGCCATGTTCTACATGGATGTTTTACATATACAATTATGAGATAATAAATGAGTGCTGCATCCAGCTGCTAAATTTGTGGTAATTTTTTTATCCAGCAAGAGAAAACTACAAATTCTATTTAAAGCCTGGGGAAAACCCTTTGCTCTGCACCCTTTTGGGAATAATGCTATTATCAGAAAAAAGGTGATTCTCAATCTCAACATCTATGTTTCCTTTATATAGATGTTCATTTTCTCTAGAATCTAAAATTCACTTTTATATATGTTTTAAGTTTACAGAATATTTTTACCTAGAGGATGGAAAATAAAGAAAGGCATATGAGACCTGTCTTAAAGGAGTATCTACGCAACAAGAAAGCATAGTAAAAGAACATGCAAAAAAAATTCAAGTATAGATTAATGTAAGATATGAATGCAAATGTAAATGTTGTTATACTAAAGCTGTTGGGCTCAACAGAGAAAATATCTCAGAATTGCTTTAATAAGTTGATGAGGGAATGAAAGAATTCTGAGAAAAGTGTCAGGCATTTGAACATGATGAGAACAAGGAAGTAGATACAAAATACTAAATCTTGGTGGCTAGAAAGTTATCAAGTCTTTAAAGGGAGAAATAATTTTGAAACATAACGCTTAAACAAGATGCATATAATTATGAGTATCAACAGAAATATGTATATGTTATACATTTCTGTACTTATATTTTTAATTAAAAATGTGCAAAAATCTATATAGTTTCATGACGGAATTATTTGGATTTTTGATAACTAGTTTATATTTTCTTGAAGTTACCAAAACAGAGAAATATGTTTTGTATACAAGAAATGTTTAAAACTCTAGAGACTTAAGCAAGCATTTGCAAAAGACAATAGTTGTACCTAGTCAGATATAGCTTCCTGTTTATTAGGGAATTTTACAACTACTTCAAAAATAATGTTTCTAATTTAATTTTGCAAGATTTAAATTTGATCATTTACTTAAGAAGGGATTGTGAATTTAGTTTGTTTTCAGGCATGCTAAATATAATATATAATATATAAAACAAACTTTAGTGTTTATTAATTATATTAGAATTTGCTTAATTTCTAATAAATGTAGAAAATACAGTCCCCACATTTAATATCTCCAAATATTTTGAAATATTGCTAAAGTGAGTTAATTCAGTTTATAATATTTTGAATTTTTAAAGGGTCTATTCAGCTACATATATAACAAACCACTGACTAGAGTGGCTTAATCAAAAGTGGATTTTTTTTTCTTTTTTTTGGGGGTTTTTTTTTTCTTTTTTTTTTTAATTATACTTTAAGTTTTAGGGTACATGTGCACATTGTGCAGGTTAGTTACATATGTATACATGTGACATGCTGGTGCGCTGCACCCACTAACTCGTCATCTAGCATTAGGTATATCTCCCAATGCTATCCCTCCCCCCTCCCCCCACCCCACCACAGTCCCCAGAGTGTGATATTCCCCTTCCTGTGTCCATGTGATCTCATTGTTCAATTCCCACCTATGAGTGAGAATATGCGGTGTTTCGTTTTTTGTTCTTGCGATAGTTTACTGAGAATGATGATTTCCAATTTCATCCATGTCCCTACAAAGGACATGAACTCATAATTTTTTATGGCTGCATAGTATTCCATGGTGTATATGTACCACATTTTCTTAATCCAGTCTATCATTGTTGGACATTTGGGTTGGTTCCAAGTCTTTGCTATTGTGAATAATGCCGCAATAAACATACGTGTGCATGTGTCTTTATAGCAGCATGATTTATAGTCCTTTGGGTATATACCCATTAATGGGATGGCTGGGTCAAATGGTATTTCTAGTTCTAGATCCCTGAGGAATCGCCACACTGACTTCCACAATGGTTGAACTAGTTTACAGTCCCACCAACAGTGTAAAAGTGTTCATATTTCTCCACATCCTCTCCAGCACCTGTTGTTTCCTGACTTTTTAATGATCGCCATTCTAACTGGTGTGAGATGGTATTTGATTTGCATTTCTCTGATGGGCAGTGATGATGAGCATTTTTTCATGTGTTTTTTGGCTGCATAAATGTCTTCTTTTGAGAAGTGTCTGTTCATGTCCTTCGCCCACTTTTTGATGGGGTTGTTTGTTTTTTTCTTGTAAATTTGTTTGAGTTCATTGTAGATTCTGGATATTAGCCCTTTGTCAGATGAGTAGATTGCAAAAATTTTCTCCCATTCTGTAGGTTGCCTGTTCACTCTGATGGTAGTTTCTTTTGCTGTGCAGAAGCTCTTTAGTTTAATTAGATCCCATTTGTCAATTTTGGCTTTTGTTGCCTTTGCTTTTGGTGTTTTAGACATGAAGTCCTTGGCCATGCCTATGTCCTGAATGGTAATGCCTAGATTTTCTTCTAGGGTTTTTATGGTTTTAAGTCTAACGTTTAAGTCTTTAATCCATCTTGAATTGATTTTTGTATAAGGTGTAAGGAAGGGATCCAGTTTCAGCTTTCTACATATGGCTAGCCAGTTTTCCCAGCACAATTTATTAAATAGGGAATCCTTTCCCCATTGCTTGTTTTTCTCAGGTTTGTCAAAGATCAGATAGGTGTAGATATGCGGCATTATTTTTGAGGGCTCTGTTCTGTTCCATTGATCTATATCTCTGTTTTGGTACCAGTACCATGCTGTTTTGGTTACTGTAGCCTCGTAGTATAGTTTGAAGTCAGGTAGCATGATACCTCCAGCTTTGTTCTTTTGGCTTAGGATTGACTTGGCGATGCGGGCTCTTTTTTTGGTTCCATATGAACTTTAAAGTAGTTTTTTCCAGTTCTGTGAAGAAAGGCATTCGTAGCTTGATGGGGATGGCATTGAATCTGTAAATTACCTTGGGCAGTATGGCCATTTTCACGATATTGATTCTTCCTACCCAGGAGCATGGAATGTTCTTCCATTTGTTTGTATCCTCTTTTATTTCCTTGAGCAGTGGTTTGTAGTTGTCCTTGAAGAGGTCCTTCACATCCCTTGTAAGTTGGATTCCTAGGTATTTTATTCTCTTTGAAGCAATTGTGAATGGGAGTTCACTCATGATTTGGCTCTCTGTTTGTCTGTTGTTGGTGTATAAGAATGCTTGTGATTTTGGTACATTGATTTTGTATCCTGAGACTTTGCTAAAGTTGCTTATCAGCTTAAGGAGATTTTGGGCTGAGACAATGGGGTTTTCTAGATATACAATCATGTCGTCTGCAAACAGGGACAATTTGACTTCCTCTTTTCCTAATTGAATACCCTTTATTTCCTTCTCCTGCCTAATTGCCCTGGCCAGAACTTCCAACACTATGTTGAATAGGAGTGGTGAGAGAGGGCATCCCTGTCTTGTGCCATTTTTCAAAGGGAATGCTTCCAGTTTTTGCCCATTCAGTATGATATTGGCTGTGGGTTTGTCATAGATAGCTCTTATTATTTTGAAATACGTCCCATCAATACCTAATTTATTGAGAGTTTTTAGCATGAAGGGTTGTTGAATTTTATCAAAGGCTTTTTCTGCACCTATTGAGATAATCATGTGGTTTTTGTCTTTGGCTCTGTTTATATGCTGGATTACATTTATTGATTTGCATATATTGAACCAGCCTTGCATCCTAGGGATGAAGCCCACTTGATCATGGTGGATAAGCTTTTTGATGTGCTGCTGGATTCAGTTTGCCAGTATTTTATTGAGGATTTTTACATCGATGTTCATCAAGGATATTGGTCTAAAATTCTCTTTTTTGGTTGTGTCTCTGCCCAGCTTTGGTATCAGAATGATGCTGGCCTCATAAAATGAGTTAGGGAGGATTCCCTCTTTTTCTATTGATTGGAATAGTTTCAGAAGGAATGGTACCAGTTCCTCCTTGTACCTCTGGTAGAATTCAGCTATGAATCCATCTGGTCCTCGACTCTTTTTGGTTGGTAAGCTATTGATTACTGCCACAATTTCAGATCCTGTTATTGGTCTATTCAGAGATTCAACTTCTTCCTGGTTTAGTCTTGGGAGTGTGTATGTGTCGAGGAATTTATCCATTTCTTCTAGATTTTCTAGTTTATTTGCGTAGAGGTGTTTGTAGTATTCTTTGATGGTAGTTTGTATTTCTGTGGGATCAGTGGTGATATCCCCTTTATCATTTTTTATTGTGTCTATTTGATTCTTCTCTCTTTTTTTCTTCATTAGTCTTGCTAGCAGTCTATCAATTTTGTTGATCCTTTCAAAAAACCAGCTCCTGGATTCACTAATTTTTTGAAGGGTTTTTTGTGTCTCTATTTCCTTCAGTTCTGCTCTGATTTTAGTTATTTCTTGCCTTCTGCTCGCTTTTGAATGTGTTTGCTCTTGCTTTTCTAGTTCTTTTAATTGTGATGTTAGGGTGTCAATTTTGGATCTTTCCTGCTTTCTCTTGTGGGCATTTAGTGCTATAAATTTCCCTCCACACACTGCTTTGAATGCGTCCCAGAGATTCTGGTATGTTGTGTCTTTGTTCTCGTTGGTTTCAAAGAACATCTTTATTTCTGCCTTCATTTCGTTATGTACCCAGTAGTCATTCAGGAGCAGGTTGTTCAGTTTCCATGTAGTTGAGCGGTTTTAAGTGAGATTCTTAATCCTGAGTTCTAGTTTGATTGCACTGTGGTCTGAGAGATAGTTTGTTATAATCTCTGTTCTTTTACATTTGCTGAGGAGAGCTTTACTTCCAAGTATGTGGTCAATTTTGGAATAGGTGTGGTGTGGTGCTGAAAAAAAATGTATATTCTGGTGATTTGGGGTGGAGAGTTCTGTAGATGTCTATTAGGTCTGCTTGGTGCAGAGCTGAGTTCAATTCCCGGGTATCCTTGTTGACTTTCTGTCTCGTTGATCTGTCTAATGTTGACAGTGGGGTGTTAAAGTCTCCCATTATTAATGTGTGGGAGTCTAAGTCTCTTTGTAGGTCACTCAGGACTTGCTTTATGAATCTGGGTGCTCCTGTATTGGGTGCATATATATTTAGGATAGTTAGCTCTTCTTGTTGAATTGATCCCTTTACCATTATGTAACGGCCTTCTTTGTCTCTTTTGATCTTTGTTGGTTTAAAGTCTGTTTTATCAGAGACTAGGATTGCAACCCCTGCCTTTTTGTGTTTTCCATTTGCTTGGTAGATCTTCCTCCATCCCTTCATTTTGAGCCTATGTGTGTCTCTGCACGTGAGATGGGTTTCCTGAATACAGCACACTGATGGGTCTTGACTCTTTATCCAATTTGTCAGTGTGTGTCTTTTAACTGGAGCATTTAGTCCATTTACATTTAAAGTTAATATTGTTATGTGTGAATTTGATCCTGTCATTGTGATGTTAGCTTGTTATTTTGCTCGTTAGTTGATGCAGTTTCTTCCTAGTCTCGATGGTCTTTACATTTTGGCATGATTTTGCAGCGGCTGGTACTGGTTGTTCCTTTCCATGTGTAGCGTTTCCTTCAGGAGCTCTTTTAGGGCAGGCCTGGTGGTGACAGAAATCTGTCAGCATTTGCTTGTCTGTAAAGTATTTTATTTATCCTTCACTTATGAAGCTTAGTTTGGCTGGATATGAAATTCTGGGTTGAAAATCCTTTTCTTTAAGAATGTTGAATATTGGCCCCCACTCTCTTCTGGCTTGTAGGGTTTCTGCTGAGAGATCCGCTGTTACTCTGATGGGCTTCCCTTTGAGGGTAACCCGACCTTTCTCTCTGGCTGCCCTTAACATTTTTTCCTTCATTTCAACTTTGGTGAATCTGACAATTATGTGTCTTGGAGTTGCTTTTCTTGAGGAGTATCTTTGTGGTGTTCTCTCTATTTCCTGAATCTGAACGTTGGCCTGCCTTGCTAGATTGGGGAAGTTCTCCTGGATAATATGCTGCAGAGTGTTTTCCAACTTGGTTCCATTCTCCCCATCACTTTCAGGTATACCAATCAGACATAGATTTGGTCTTTTCACATAGTCCCATATTTCTTGGAGGCTTTGCTCATTTCTTTTTATTCTTTTTTCTCTAAACTTCCCTTCTCGCTTCATTTCATTCATTTCATCTTCCATTGCTGATACCCTTTTTTCCAGTTGATCACATTGGCTCCTGAGGCTTCTGCATTCTTCACGTAGTTCCTGGGCCTTGGTTTTCAGCTCCATCAGCTCCTTTAAGCACTTCTCTGTATTGGTTATTCTAGTTATACATTCTTCTAAACTTTTTTCAAAGTTTTCAACTTCTTTGCCTTTGGTTTGAATGTCCTCCCGTAGCTCAGAGTAATTTGATCGTCTGAAGCCTTCTTCTCTCAGCTCGTCAAATTCATTCTCCATCCAGCTTTGTTCCGTTGCTGGTGAGGAACTGCGTTCCTTTGGAGGAGGAGAGGAGCTCTGCTTTTTAGAGTTTCCAGTTTTTCTGTTCTGTTTTTTCCCCATTTTTGTGGTTTTATCTACTTTTCGTCTTTGATGATGGTGATGTATGGGTTTTTGGTGTGGATGCCCTTTCTGATTGTTAGTTTTCCTTCTAACAGACAGGACCCTCAGCTGCAGGTCTGTTGGAATACCCTGCCGTGTTAGGTGTCAGTGTGCCCCTGCTGGGGGGTGCCTCCCAGTTAGGCTGCTTGGGGGTCAGGGGTCAGGGACCCACTTGAGGAGGCAGTCTGCCCGCTCTCAGATCTCCAGCTGCGTGCTGGGAGAACCACTACTCTCTTCAAAGCTGTCAGACAGGGACATTTAAGTCTGCAGAGGTTACTGCTTTTTGTCTGTGCCCTGCCCCCAGAGGTGGAGCCTACAGAGGCAGGCAGGCCTCCTTGAGCTGTGGTGGGCTCCATCCAGTTGGAGCTTCCTGGCTGCTTTGTTTACCTAAGCAAGCCTGGGCAATGGCGGGCGCCCCTCCCCTAGCCTTGCTGCCGCCTTGCAGTTTGATCTCAGACTGCTGTGCTAGCAATCACCGAGACTCCATGGGCATAGGACCCTCCGAGCCAGGTGCGGGATATAATCTTGTGGTGCGCCGTTTTTTAAGCCAGTCGGAAAAGCGCAGTATTCAGGTGGGAGTGACTCGATTTTCCAGGTGCGTCCGTCACCCCTTTCTTTGACTCGGAAAGGGAACTCCCTGACCCCTTGCTCTTCCCAAGTGAGGCAATGCCTCGCCCTGCTTCGGCTCGCGCACGGTGCGCACACCCACTGACCTGCGCCCACTGTCTGGCACTCCCTAGTGAGATGAACCTGGTACCTCAGATGGAAATGCAGAAATCACCCATCTTCTGCGTCACTTACGCTGGGAGCTGTAGACCCGAGCTGTTCCTATTCGGCCATCTTGGCTCCTCCCCCGGATTTTTTTTTTCACTTACCATGTTTGAAGGTAGGTGACCCAAGGCTGGGACATGTCTTAATATCCCATTCATCTTCTGTCTTTCAGCTACTATAGTCTTAATAGGTGTTTCATAACTGTGAAATGTACATAAAGACAGTTCAGCTATTTCATCCTTTTTTTCTATATGCCACTTAGGAAAAAGAAAAAAAGAAACAACAAGCCAGAAGTGGTGAAAAGCAAAATATTCTCAGAAACCTTAAACTTTTGTTTAGTGGGCCAGAACTGTTTCACTTGGATAACCCTAGTTATCCAAGAAAGTTTGAGAAATTTATCGGATAACCTGGGCATACAGCCAGCTTGGGGGAGAAAAAGGAGCTTTAGTTGGTATGGAAAAGTGAAAGCTGGATTTGGGATTGCATGAGCCATGCATAATGTGGCTTAATAACCTCCAATAAAGACATATTCATGTCCCCATCTTTAATGTCTAATGTCATACCACAATTATGCATAATTTTATGCATAGCTACTAATTATAATGTCATAAGGCAGATGTGCAAATCCTTTCTTCTTTGATGTTGTCTAAGAAGTATAACATTTTATCGGTGCTGATGATCAACTCCATATTTTTCATCCATTTCTTAAGAAGTATTTTTGGAAGCATAATTTGGATCTTGGTGCTCAAGTTTCAGATACAAGCAGGTTAATATCTGGTTACTAGACAGTTATTGGGTAACCACTTAAAATATACATTTTTAAATGTATTAGGATGGAATGTGTCCACACATCTGTGGGCACATAGAAGAATATAAGGAAAAATGTAGAAATGCTCCTGGTGAAACAAATGAAGACATTTTTTTTCCCAGCCATGTGGTGTAGCTAATTTAAAGTTTGGAATAAAAAATAAACTGCAAATTGTTTGATATTTCTGAAAAACTCAATGCAATCCAAATGGAAGGGAGAGGAAAGGGTTATTAGTCTTCCAGAAGGTTGATGGGACTTGTAAGGAGGAATTTTGAATTAAATTATAAATACTAGTTATGTTAAATGTGAGTTGCTTTTAGGTGTTTGGATATATGGGAATGGAAAACAGCAGATGTCTGACTGAAAAATCAGCATGGGTTGTTGATGCCATGGGGGTGAACTTACTGACAGGAGATTATAGGTAGAAAGAAAAGACAAGAAGAAATTAAAACTATGAAGAATAGTCACGGAAGGGACCTGGGAATGAGTCAGTTTGATAATAAGAGCAACAACCAAAACAATTAATATTTATTGGTTGCTTATTTTGGTGCCACTCTTTGTGTTAAGAACATTACAGCTATTAGTAATTACAATGATTTTTGTAAACATATATTTTTTCAAATTTCAGTTTATGTTTAGGGGTACATATACAGGATTGTTATATAGGTAAATTGCATGCCACAGGGGTTTGGTGTACAGATTATTTTGCTACCCAGGTAATAAGCATAGTACCCAACAGGGAGTTTCTTTTAATCTTCACCCTCCTCCTAACCTTCACCCTGAAGTAGGCCCCTATTGTTCTCTATTTTGTGTCCATATGTACTCAATGTATACCTCCCACTTATACATGAGAACGTGTGATATTTGGTTTTCTGTTCCTGTGTTACTTTGCTTAGAATAATGTCCTCTAGCTCCATCCATGTTGCTGCAAGGAACATGATATTATTCTTTTTTTATGTCTGCATATTATTCCATGATGTATATGTACCACATTTTTAAAAATCTGGCCAGTCTTTTGATGGGCATTTAGGATGTTTTCATGTCTCTGCTATTGTGAATAGTGCTGCAGAGAACATATGTGTGCATGTGTCTTTATGCACATGTCTTTATTGTAGAACGACTTGTATTCCTTTGGGTATATATCAGAGGGCAGAATTGCTTGGTTGAATGGTAATTCTGCTTTGAGATCTTTGAGAAATCACTAAAATGCTTTCCACAACAGCTGAAATAATTTACACTCCCCTCAGCAGTATTGTGTTCACTTTCCTCTACAAACTCACCAGCATCTGTTATTTTTCGATTTTTTAAAATAGCCATTCTGACAGGTGTGAGATTGTATCTCACTGCGGTTTTCATTTGCATTTCTCTGATGATTAGTGATGATGAGCATATTTTTATTTGTTTCTCAGTCACATGTATGTCTTCTTTTGAAAAGTTTCTGTTCATGTCCTTTGCCCTCTTTTTAATGTGGTTGTTTATTTATGTGTGTTGATTTAAGTTTCTTATAGATTCTCGATATTAGAACTTCATCAGATGCATAGTTTGTAAATATTTTCTCTCATTCTGTAGATTGTCTGTTTACTTTGTTGATAGTTTCTTTGGCTGTGCAGAAGCTCTTTAGTTAAATAAGTTTATATTTCTCAATTTTTGTTTTGGTTACAATTACTTTTGGGTTCTTCATCATGAAATAATTCTCAGTTCTATGTCTCAAATGTTATTTTCTAGGTTATCTTTCAGGGTTTCTATAGTTTGAGGTTGTACATTTAAGTCTTTAATCCATCTCAAGTTCATTTTTATCTATGGTTTAAGGGAGGCATCCCATTCCAATCTTCTTCATAGTTAGCCAGTTATCCCATCACGATTTATTGAATAGGGAGTCATTTCTACGTTGCTTGTTTTTTGTCAACTTTGTTGAAGATCAGTTAGTTGTAGGTGTGTGGCATTATTTCTGGACTCTCTATTCTGTTATATTGGTCTATATGTCTGTTTTTGTACCATGCCATGCTGTGTTGATTATTGTAACCTTTTAGTATAGTTTGAAGTTGGGTAATGTGATGCCTCCAGCTTTGTTCTTTTTGCTTAGGATTGTCTTAGCTATTTGAGCTCTTTTTTGGTTTAACCTGAATTTTAAAATATTTTTTCTAGTTCTGTGAAGAATGTCCTTAGTAGTTTCATAGGAATAGCATGGAATCTGTAAACTGCTTTGGATAGTATGACCATTTTAAAAATATTGATTCTCCTTATCCATCAGCATAGGATGTTTTTATATTTGTTTGTGTCATCTCTGATTTCTATGAGCAGTGTTTTGTAATTCTCATTGTAGAGGTCTTTCACTTCATTGGTTAGCCATGTTTTCTAGATATTTTATTATTTTTGCGGCTATTGTGAATGGTATTGCATTCTTGATTTGGCTGTCAGTTTGGATGCTGTTGGTGTATAGGAATACTACTGATTTTTGTATATGGATTGTGTATCCTGAAACTTGGCTGAAGTTGTCTATCAGATCAAGGAGATTTTGGGCAGAGACTAAGGGGTTATCTAGGTATAGAATCCTATTGTTCACAAACAGGAATAGTTTGATTACATCTCTTCCTATGTAGATGCCTTTTATTTCTTTCTATTACCTGATTGCTCTGGCCAGGACTTCCAGTACTATGCTAAATAGAAGTGGTGAGAGAAAGCATCCTTATCTTGTACTGGTGTATTACTTCATTCTCGCATTGCTACAAGGAATAACTGAGACTCAGTAATTTGTTAAGAAAAAAGGGGTAATTGACTCACAGTTCCACAGGCTGGATAGGAAGCATGGCTAGGGAGGCCTCAGAAAACACAATAATGACAGCAGGTGTAGGGGAAGTAGGCACATCTTCACATGGAGGAGCAGGAGAGAGAGAGAGAGAGAGCACAGAGGGAGGTGCTACAGACTTTTAAACAAACAGATTTTGTGAGAACTCTATCTCAAGACAGCACTAGGGAGATGGTGCTAAACCATTAGAAACCACCCCCATTAGAAACCACCCCCATGATCAAATCACCTCTCCCCAGGCCCCATCTCCAACATTGGGGATTATAATTCAATGTAAGATTTGGGTGGGGACAAAGAGCCAAACCATATCAACCAGTTTTCAAGGGGAATGCTTACAGCTTTTGCCCATTCAGTAGAATACATATAATTTTAGAACTGATGAGCAAGACATAGGCTGGGATCGGTGACTTGCATCTGTAATCCCAGCACTTTGGGAGGCCAAGGCAGGTGAATTGCTTGAGGTCAGGAGTTCAAGACCAGCCTGAGCAACATGGTGAAACCCCGTCACTACTAAAAATACAAAAATTAGCCAGGCATCATGGTCCATACCTGTAATACCAGTTTCTTAGGAGGCTGAGGCAGGAGAATTGCTTGAACCCAGGAGGTGGAGTTTGCAGTGAGCCAAGATTGTGCCACTGAACTCCAGCCTGAGCAACAGAGTGAGATGGAAAAACAAACAAACAAAAAAAACAGATGAGCAACAAGTAATGCCATAATGCTTGAATGATGTTCAGTAAGTGAGTGGTCTTTAATAATGTACCTAATCAGCAATGACAAATATTAAACAAAAACAAAGAAGGTTAAGAATGAAATGTGCTGTATTTCTTCACATTTAAATGGAAAGCACATGATTTTATAAAATTGCATGATAATATTATTCCTAAATTGAAAAAGCCAACAATATTTTTTCTTTGCTGCTTTATTTTATTTATCTTAATGCTCATAAAATTAAGGTTAGAAGAGACATTTCTCAAATTTCTAGAATGTTATTTATCCATTTCACCTGCCATTTTTTTCCTTAGTGTAAATATGAATTTTTAAACTATTTGATTGAGATTTGCAAAGAACCCTTGGCACATAAGGACTACCACCAAATCCCTGAACTAAGAGACTTGACTAACCCCACTATGGTATCTAGTAGCCTAATGTGGAATACCTGAAACATCTCAAATCAAGTTCCTTTCTGAGATAGCTCAGGGCTGCCAAAAGGATTTACTGATTGCTCTAGGCCAACATCTGAGGACAGATCATTACTTCCATCTTCTAGAGCACTTAGCAACAACTTCTTACACTTGTGAATCCTTCTTCTGTCTCTTTGAGATTTATGTTTATCTCTTACAACTCAGGAATGTCTTTCTCAAGGACCTGAAACCCATACCTTGGAAATGCAGTCATCAGTAAGGACACGGCCTCTGTCTCCCAGTCACCCTGAGAGGATAGAATCTTAACCTCTACGATTCCCATCTACCAGATGCAACTAGCCTATTCACACTCACAGCAATCAGCACTTTGTTATTTTTCACTTCTCTTATTCTATGTGAGTCCTCAGTCACTCTTCCTCTTTACTCTCTCATTCTTCCTTTAAAACACCCATGCAGTCACCTCTGCACAAATTAGGTTGGAGCTCAGCTCTTTCCCTTTCTGTGTGTAGTTATTGAATAAAGTGATTTCACCACTTTAAGTAGTATCTGGCTTTATTTATCTTTGACAAGCAAACTTACAAGTGCATCAAGTTTTGAGTGTTGTTAGAATGGTTTTACAATCAAGTAGGCAAAACCGAATAGCTTTTGGAAGTCCTGAGGCAGTTTTCTACTCACTGACAGAAGGCATTATTTTCAAATCTTAGCAAACATCATTCACATAACTTTGACTCTGTAGTTGAACAAGTTTAAATTATTTATGTAGAAGACTAAGGGGAGATTGAAATTATGTGATTTAATACTATTAAGAAATGTATTGATTTGAACCAGCCTTGCATCCTAGGGATGAAGCTGACTTGATCATGGCAGGTAAATTTTTTGATGTGCTGCTACATTTGGTTTGCCAGTATTTTGTTGAGGATTTTTGCATCAATGTTCGTCAGGGATGTTGGCCTGAAGTTATCTTTTTTCGTTGTTTCTCTTTCCAGTTTTGGTATCAGGATGATGCTTTGTTCATAAAATGAGTTAGGGAGGAGTCCCTCCTTTTCTGTTGTTTGGAATAGTTTCAGAAGCAATGGTATCAGCTCCTCTTCGTATTTCTGGTAGAATTCAGCTCTGAATTTGTCTGGTGCTGGGCTATTTTTTGTTGGTAGGCTATTAATGACTGCCTCAATTTCAGAACTCGTTATTTGTCTATTCATGGATTTGACTTCTTCTTGGTTTAGTCTTGGTAGGTGTAATCCATCACATAAACAGAAGCAAAGACAAAAACCACATGATTATCTCAATAGATGCAGGAAAGGCCTTTGATAAAATTCAAAATCCCTTAATGTTAAAAACTCTCAATAAACTAGGTATTGATGGAACATATCTCAAAATAATAATAGCTATTTCTGACAAACCCACGGCCAATATCATATTGAATGGACAAAAGCTGGAAGCATTCCCTTTGAAAACTGGGACAAGACAAGGATGCCCTCTCTCACCACTCCTATTCAACATATATTGGAAGTTCTGGCCAGGGCAATCAGGCAAGAGAAAAAAATAAATAGTATTCAAATAGAAAGAGAGGAAGTCAAATAGTCTTTGCAGACAACATGATTTTATATTTAGAAAACCTCATCGTCTCAGGTCAAAATTCCTTAAATGGGTGAGCAACTTCAGCAAAGTCTCAGGATACAAAATCAATGTGCAAAAATCACAAGCATTCCTTTACACCAACAATAGACAAGCAGAGAGCCAAATCATGAATGAACCCCCATTCACAATCACTACAAAGAGAATAAAATGCCTAGGAACACAGCTAACATGAGATGTGAAGGACCTCTTCGAGGAGAACCAAATGCACTGCTCAAGGAAATAAGTGGACAACAACAAATGGAAAAACATTTCATCCTCATGGATGGGAAGAATCAATATCATGAAAATGGCCATACTGCCCAAAGTAATTTATAGAGTCAGCGCTATTCCCATCAAACTACCATTGACATTCTTCACAGAATGAGAAAAAAAAAACTATTCTAAATTTCATATGGAATCAAAGAAGACCCCATAGAGCCAAGACATTCCTAAGCAAAAAGAGCAAAGCTGGAGGCATCACGCTACCTGACTTTGAACTGCACTACAAGGCTACAGTAACCAAAACAGCATGGTACTGGTATCAAAACAGGCATATAGACCAATGGAACAGACTACAACCATCTGATCTTCGAAAAACCTGACAAAAACAAGCAATGGGAAAAGGATCTCCTATTCAGTAAATGGTGCTGGGAAAACTGGCTAGCCATATGCAGAAAACTGAAACTGGATCCCTTCTTTACACCTTATACTATAATTAAATCAGAATGGATTAAAGACTTCAATGTAAAACCCAAAACCATGAAAACCCTAAAATAAAACCTAGGCAACACCATTCAGGACATAGGCATGGGCAAAGCCTTCATGACAAAAACACCAAAAGCAATTGCAACAAAAGCCAAAATTGACAAATGGGATCTAATTAAACTAAAGAGCTTCTGCACAGGAAAATGAACTATCATCAGAGTGAACCGGAAGCCTACAGAATGGGAGAAAATGTTTACAATCTATAAAGGTCTAGTATCCAGGATTTACAACGAAGTTAAATTAACAAGAAAAAAAAAAACAACCTCATCAAAAAGTGGGCAAAGTATATGGACAGACTTCTCAAAAGAAAACATTTATGTGGCCAACTAACAAATGAAAAAAAGCTCAACATCACTGATCATCAGAGAAATGCAAATCAAAACCACAATTAGATACCATCTCACACTAGTTAGAATTGCAATTATTAAAAAGTCAGGAAACAATAGACGCTGGCAAGGCTGTGGAAAAATAGGAACACTTTGAGACTGTTGGTGGAAATGTAAATTAGTTCAACCATTGTGGAAGACAGTATAGCAATTCCTCAAGGATCTTACCCAGAAATACTATTTGACCCAGCAATCCCATTTCTGTGTATATACCCAAAGGAATATAAATCATTCTACTATAAAGACACATGCACACGTATGTTTATTGCAGCACTATTCACAATAGCAAAAACATGGAACCAACCCAAATGACCATCAATGATAGACTGGATAAAGAAAATGTGATACATATACACCATGGAATACTATGCAGCCATAAAAAGGATTAAGATTTTGTCTTCTGCAGGAATATAGATGAAACTGGAAGCCGTCATCTTTTTTTTTGAGTCTTTTTTTTAGTTTACTTTATGTTCTAGCGTACGTGTGCACAATGTGCAGGTTTGTTACATATGTATACATGTGTCATGTTGGTGTGCTGCACCCGTCAACTCATCATTTACATTAGGTGTATCTCCTAATGCTATCCCTCGCCCCTCTCCCCATGCCCCCGCAGGCCCCCATGTGTGATGTTCCTCACCCTGTGTCCATGTGTTCTCATTGTTCAATTCCCACCTATGAGTGAGAACATGTGGTGTTTGGTTTTCTGTCCTTGCAATAGTTTGCTCAGAATGATGGTTTCCAGGAAAGCCATCATCTTCAACAACCTAACACAGGAACAGAAAACCAAACACCACATGTTCTCACTCATAAGTGGGAGTTTAACAATGAGAACACATGGACACAGAGAGGGGAATAACACACACCAGGGCTTGTTGCGGGGCAGGGGGTAAGGGGAGGGAACTTAGAGGACAGGTCAATGGGTGCAGCAAACCACCTAGGCACACATATACCTATGTAACAAACCTGCATTTCTGCACATGTGTCCCATTTTTTAGAAGAAATAATTAATCTAAAATTAAAAAAAACTTTTATTTTGTTTTAAAAAAGAAATGTATAAATAAAATTAGTAGATGTTTAACAGTAGAGACTTAAAAGTAAACGTGAAAGTTTTTTTATTCAAGAAGGCAAAAAGAACAAAAGTATTCATGTAGTTTATGCAATTTCTTTAAATTATGGTAAAGAAAGAGGGCAGAGCAGCTGAGATCACAGCTTAACTTATTACCTAAGAGCATAGCATCAAAATAGGGAGCGAATCGGTTCCAGAGAGCTTTGGAGAATTGAGTGTAACGATGTTGAGATGTGGGCTGAAGAGGAACAAGTAAACCTGATATACCTAAACCAACTCTTATTTTACCTATGGCACAGAACACTAGCAGTTAACTATGTAACCCTGGACCCCAAACAGGCAAATAAATAACCATTTGGCAAAATTAAAAACAAAACAACATAAAAAATTATTTTCTAATATTGAAAAAAATGGCAGTCAACTGAGAATTCTAATGTTAGCATTGGCCCTTTCTCTTTGTGGTGTTTAAACATCACCAGCACAGTGGCAGATTGCTTTTTCATTTGTCCTAAGGTGAAGTTGGATATTTCATATATTCCGCACATGTACACACAGCTCCACATTATATTTTTAGAATTATATTATGTTCTTACATATGAATGACAAAGCACAAATTCCAAAATTTCTATGTAAAAATGAGATACAAAGACTAAGAAAAATATACAGAAAAATCACCCATGGAGAAGAAATAGTCAAAGATGATAAGAGAATAAAATTAAATAAACAAATCAAAACAGGAGGTGAAAAAAGTCTTCTACTAAATATGATAAAAAGTAAATATAATAAATAAGAAAAAAATGCATATATATAACAATTTAGTGAAATAAGGTACAAGAAAGAACACTAAAATATTAAATATATATTGAAAATCAAAAGCAAAATACTTGAAAGTAATAAAAAAGACAAGTATGAAAACAAATGGCATGAAATGAAAATCCTTGTCCCTCATGTCTGGGAATGAAGGAAGGGCAAGAAACTCTCTTATTCGTTGGAACTAGGAGTTTGGGTTAAATGAAAAAGTAAATCATCTTAGCTTTCTAAAAAGTCACATATATAAAAATATATTTATTCTGCTATATTTTGTTATAGGGCCAAGCTTCTTCTCCCTATTTTGAGTGCAAATATTGATCACTTTTTCTTTATAAAACATACCTATGTCATACTTTTTGCAATTTTCATTTTCAGTTTTTTTAAAGTGAAGTGAGAATTCAGAGACTCTTGTAAAAATATACTAAATGCAGTATATTTTTAACGTTTCTGATCCTTTGTAGTTGTGTCACCCACATCTATTCACCAGCAAGTATTTTTAGTGCCTTAGCTTTTTCAAGGCTTTTTAAAACATCTTTAGTTTTCATAAATACAATAGCATTTCTCATTCATGTTCAGTATATTTTATGAAGAAAAGAGACAGCAAATGAGTCAAAACAAATGCTATTTAAAATAGTGTCTAATGTTCAAACTTATTTATATCATTATATATTTGTCTATGCACATATTTTAGTAAAGTTAAAGTTAATGCAATATTTCCAAGAAAAAAAAACTATGCCTGATTGTATGCTTTTATCTTATGTTACATGGAAAACATTGATCTCTCTTTACTTGCTGTGACAAAGATTTTGTTCTCTCACTTTATTGCCTTGATATTGTTTATCTGATTTTTTTTGGTACTTGGTCCAATTTCTGAAGAGCCATTAAGCTTAGATATCTATGACTATTCTTTAATAAATTTCAGGGAGCAATAAAGATTTTAAAGAGCCTATATAAATGTGTACTATATATATACATATATACACACACACACACATATATATATATCATTATATAAAGACAATGAGATGAATCTGAACCTAATTTCATTTTCTTTTACTTAAAATTTAGAAGATTTGGTAATTGTGTTCAACATAGATCCTGTGATATATGGGCAGACTTATATGTCTTTTTAAATGACCTTTTTTTCCACTAAATCACCCATGTAAAATTGCTGCTTAATTTTTCTACTTTTCTTTCTTTCATGTGAAGTTTGGTGACTTATTTTCATATAAAAATGTATTCTTTCTAATAATTTGAACGTAGGTGCCTTATCATGAGTAAGAACATGATGTGACAATATAATAATTAAGAATGCTGGACACATGTGGTGGTTTATGCCTGTAATCCCAGAACTTTGGGCAGGAGCATTGATCAAGTCCAGGAGTTTGAGGCCAGACTGAGCAATGTAGTGAGACTCTGTTTGTACAAATAGTAGTAATAATAAAATAACCAGGCATGGTGGCACATGCCTATAGTCACACCTGCTCAAGAGGCTGAGGTGAGAGGATTTCTTGAACCCAAGAGGCTGTGGCTTCAATGAGCTATGATTGCACCCCTGCACTCTAGCCTGGGTGACAAAGTGAGACCCCATGTGTTAAAAAAATGAAAATAATTTCTTTAAGCCATATAATACATTTCAGGTAACAATAGAGCTTGATATAAATACATAGCCTTACTATAAATTATCATCAGAAAATAATATCAATTTATTATCTTGTATCAGTGAAGACACTGAATGGATATCAAACGGCTAAAGATAAAAAGAACTGAACAATAATATTGTAAACTATTATTATAGTAAGTAAATTGTTTCTCACAGAGATGTGGTTTAGAAGTTTGGAAACAATTGTTTTTGTATACTATGGTTGAACAAATAAGTAAATATGTTGTAGGTCATTTGAGCTAGGTTTCTTGATGAGATAGAAGAAAGTTACTGCAGACTGAGTAACTACTACTCATGGATGGTAATATTGTTGAGAAAAGTTTAAGCAGAACTAGAACATTTGAATTATCTCAAAGTATCTTCTCCCAAATATTTACTAATTACAAAGGGAAAAATAATAATTTCACCATAGTGAATCAACTTTAATCAGATGATCAAGGTCAAGACCTCTAGCAATACCTGTAAATATCAAATACCTTCTGAATAAGGAGGGCACAGTACTTTTGTTTTACTTTTCCCAATAGTGAACACCTCCATTCTGATCATGAAAGAAAAAATATACAACCCCAAATTTAAAGACATTTTATATAAAAAATTAATGACAAGTATTCTTCAGAAGTGCAAAGGTCATAAAAGACAAGAGAAGACTGAGTTATGATCACAGAATGAAGGAAACTAAGAATACAATAAATGTGATGTAGCATACCAGACTGGATCCTCAAACAGCAAAATCACAGTGGAAAGAACGGGCTAAATCCAAACAAGGTCTATATTATAGTTAAAAGTATCGTGACAAAGTTAATTTCTTAGTTTTGATAAATCTCCTATGGTTATGTAACATTTTAACAGAAGAAAAAGCTGAGTAAATGGTACATGAAAATTCTGTGCCATTTTTGCAAGTAGTTATAAATATAAAATTATCACACACATACACATACTAAACATTGAGAGTGTTCTGTATGAAACTGTAGCTGTAGCCATACATCTTTATAACTTAGTCACAACCCATACAATTATCCACCAAAATGTCTAAATTTTATTGTATATAATATTTTTTCAACAAATCAACCAGGACATAGGTGTGCAGACTGATTTGAGGCTATGACAGGTGAATTTAACTATACTAGAAATGTATTACATAAACAAACTGAAGGGGATAGAAAAGAAAAGAGCTGACCTAAGTCAGCTTCATTAAATGTTTGGTGGAAATTGACAGTGAAACTATATAACCCTTGAGTTTTTCTTTTACAGAAAAGTTAGAAACTAGAAAGTCAATTTATTTAATAGGTATAGAGTTATTAAAATTATATATATTATTTTGAGTCAGTTTTATTAGTTTGTGTCTTTTAAGAAATTGGTCTATTTCAGGGGTCCCCAACCCCTGGGCCATGGACTGGTACTGACTGGTCTGTGGTCTGTTAGGAACCAGGCTGCAGAGCAGGAGGTGAGCAAGCATTACAGCCTGAGCTTCAACTCCTGTCAGATCAGTGGTGGCATTAGATTCTCATAGGAGCATGGATCCTGTTGTGAACTGCACATGTGAAGGATCTAGTTTGCATGGTTCTTATGAAAAGCTAATGCCTGATGATCTGAGGAGAAACAGTTTAATCCTTAAACCATCTCCCCACATCTCTCCACCCCCGTCTGTGGAAAAATTGTCTTCCATGAAACCCATCCCTAGTGCCAAAAAGGTTGGGGACTGCTGGTCTTTTCATCCTCATTTTGAACTTATAGTAATATAGTTATTCATGACATTCCCTTATTATTATTTTACCTCTGTGGAGTCTGTGGTGATATCCCTTCTTTTGTATCTGATATTGGTAATTTGTGTCTTCAATTTTTTAATTTTTTGCCACTCTGGCTAGACTTTTCTCAATTTGAATAATACTTTTAAAGAATGGGCTATTGGTTGCATTAGTGTTCTTTATCATTGTTGTGTTTTAAATTTTATTGATTTCAACTTTTATTATATTCATTATTCTACTTGCTTTGGATTTACTTGTATTCTCCTAGTGTTTTAAAATGGAATCTTAGATTATCATTTGAGAACTTTTATTGTTTCTATTATAGCATTTAACATCATAAATTTCCTTCTTAGAACTGCTTTAGCTGCATATCCTAAATTTGGACCGTTTGTGTTTTTAAAAATATCTATGTTGTGTTTTCATTTCTATTCAGTATATTTTTAAAAATTTCCCTTGGGACTTTATCTTTGATTCATGAGGTTTTTAGAAGTTTGTTGCTTAATTTTTAAATATTTGGGAATTTTCCAGTTATCTATTACTGAATTCCAATGTTTTTCAGGTCTTTCATATCCTTACTGTTTTTATATTTATTTGTGCTAAAAATTACTTGGAGGACTGTTTGGGGCTCCAACTAAAATTCTGTATTTATCTATTTCTATTTTCAATTTCATTAGTTTTTGCCTCATGTACTTTCAGGCTCCGTTTTTAGGTACATACATATTTAGGACATTAACAACTTTTTGAAAAATTGACTCTTTTTTCATTATGCATAATAATATTCTTTATTCATAATAATATTTATTCATAATAATATTTCTTGTTTTTAAGTCTAATTTTTCGATAGTAGTATAAATATGCCAACTTTCTTTTGGTTAGTGTTTGCAAGAAATATTTTCTCATCTTTTTACTTCTAGCCACTCTATGTTATTATATTAAAGTGGGTTTCTTGTAGACATATACACTTGAAACTTCTTTTCCTATGTAATTTTTTAAACCTATGTTTTTAACTGTTCTGTTTAGACCACTTACATTTCAAATGATTATTGCTATGACTGAATTATAATGCAACCTCTTGTTAGCTATTTTTAACTTTTTCTCTCATACTTATTTTTATCATTCTACCTTCTCATGTGTAAATGGAAGATTTTTATAATTCCGCTTTATCTAATTTATTGGCTAATTATTTAAATTATTTAATTTAAAAAATCTTATTTTAGTGGTTTTACTAGAGTTTATAATATACACCTCCAATCAATGCCAACATTCAAATATGTTGTCTTAGGTTCTTCTGTGCTGCTATAGTATAATACCAGAAACTGAGTAATTTATAAAGGACATACATGTGTTTCTTATGGTTCTGGAGGCTGGGAAGTCTAAGTTCAAGTCTAAGACACTAGCAGATTCACTGTCTGGTGAAGGCTGCTATCTGCTTTAGGTTGGCACTTCTTACTGTGGCCTCACATGTTGGAAGGAGTTAAAAGGAATTATAAGGTCATTAATCCCATTCATGAGGATTCTGCCCTCATGACTTAATGATGTCTTCAAGGCCCCGCCTCTTAATACTATCACATTAGTGATTAACTTTCAACTTAAGAGTGTTAGGGAACATGTTCAGAACATAGCATTCTACCCCCGCCTCCCCAGATTCATGTTCTTACATCACATGCAGAGTACATTAATTCAATCTCAATAGCCCCAAAGTTTTAATTCATTCCTGCATTCATTTTAAAGTCTAAGTTCAAAAATGTCATCTGAGCATCATCTAAAGTATATATGGGTAAGATTCAAAGTATGATTAATTCTGAGGCAAATTGCTCTCCACCTGTGAACTGTGAAACCAAACAAGTTACGTGTTTCCAAAATACAATGGTGGGACAGGCATAGGGTGGGCATTCCCGTTCCAAAAGGGAAAACTAGGAAAGAATAAAGGGGTAACATCTCCCAAGTAAGTCTAAAACCCAAAGCAAACATTAAATCTTGAGGCATAAAAGTAATCTTTCACTCTATGTCCTGCCTTCTGGACACACTGGAGGTTGGGGATGGGCCCCTAAGGCTCTGGGCAACCCCAGCCTCAGTTTCAGTTTCTCACTCCTACTTCTAATAATATTACTGTCATTCATTTTCACTTAACCATATGCTATAATCAATGACTTCATTGTTACAGTAATTATTTAGAACAAGAGGTTTTTTTTAAATCAATTAAGAATACAAAAATAAAATATTGTATTTTACTTTAACTTATTCCTTCTTTGACACTTTCTCTTTCTTTATGTAGACCTAAGTTACAGATCTATAAAATTTTCCTTTCTTCTAAAGAGCTTCTTTAATATTTATTGTGGGGCAAACCTCCTGGCAAAAATGTCTTTCAGTTTTTGTTTATCTGAGAGTCTTTAGGCCTATTTCATTTTTGAAGAACAATTTATTTTACTCTAGGATTCCAGGTATTTTTTGGAACACTTTAGATATCTCAAATTGTGCTCTTCTTGCTCTAAAGTTTCTGATATTGAGCCCAATATAATTATTATTCTTGTTCTTCTGTTGGAAAGGTATCCCGCTTACCCTGGTTCTTTTTAACCAGGTTTGTCTTTGTCTTTAGCTTGCTGCATTCTGAATATGTTACACCTAGGTAGAAATGCTTTGTAATTATTATATTTGGTATTATCTGAACTTCTTGGATCTGTGATTTGGTGTCTGTAATTAGTTTTTAAAAATTCTTGGCCATTATTATTAATACTTCAAATATTTTTCATCAAGGTTCTTTATTTTTTTTCTCTCTGATGTTCCAATTACATGCATGCTCTGCCTTTTGAAATTGTCCTACTGTTCTTGGATACTATTTTTTTATTTGTTTTTTGCATTTCAGTTTAGAAAGTTTCTATTTACATGTCATCATACTCCCTAATTATTCTCTCAGCTTTGTGCAGTGTTTTAGTTCACTTTATGCAGCTACAACAGAATACCATGAACTGGGTAATTTATAAAGAAAAATTTTATGTCACATAGCCCTGGAGGCTGGGAATTCTAAAAGCATGATGTGGACATCTGGGGAGAGTCTTTTTGCTACATTACAGCATGGTGGAGGGCAAATATACACAGAGAGAGAGAAAGGAGTGAACTTTATTTTAGAACAATTTGCTGTTAGTGTAACTAAACAATTCCCACAATAATGACATTAATCTGTTCACAAGAGCAGAGCCCTCATGACTTAAACACTTTGTAAAGGCCATGCCTTTTTTTTTGGTAAAAGATCATACTCTAAATTTTATTTATTTTAAGATCTGGGATACATGTGGAGGATGTGTAGGTTTGTTACACAGGTAAACATGTGCCATGGTGGTTTGCTGCACCTGTCAGCCCATCACCCAGGTATTAGGCACCACATGAATTGCTATTTATCCTGATCCCTTTTCCCACACCTCCCAACAGCTTCCGGGGTTCATTGTTCCTCCTCCTTCTGTCCATGTCTTCTCATTGTTTAGCTCCCACTTATAAGTGAAAATGTGTAGTGTTAGGTTTTCTGTTTCTGTGTTAATTTGCTGAGGATAGTGAGTTCCAGCTCTATCCATATCCCCGCAAAGGACATTATGCCATTTCTTTTAATGGCTTCATAGTATTCTGTGGTGTATATGAACCACGTTTTATCTATTGCATCTATCATTGGTGGGCATCTGAGTTGATTCCATGTCTTGCTATTGTTAATAGTGCTGCAGTGAACATACGTGTGCATGTATCTTTATAATAGAATTATTTATGTTCTTTTGGGTATATAACCAGTAATGGGATATCTGGGTCAAGTGGTATTTCTGCCTCAAGGTCTTTGAGGAATCACCACATTGTCTTCCACGATGGTTGAACTAATTTACACTCCAACCAACAGTGTAAAACTGTTCCTATTTCTTCACAGCCTTGCCAGCTTCTGTTGTTTCTAGACTTTCTAGTAATTGCCATTCTGACTGGTGTGAGATGATATCTCATTGTGGTTTTGATTTGCATTCCTCTAATGATAAGTGATGTTGAGCTTTTTAAATATATTTCTTGGCTGCATAAATGTCTTTTTGAGAAGTGCCTGTTCATGCACTTGGCCCACTTTTTTTTTTTTTTTTTTTTTTTTTTGAGACAGAGTCTCACTCTGTTGCCCAGGCTGGAGTGCAGTGGCACAATCTTGGCTCACTGCAACCTCCGCCTCCTGGATTTAAGTGATTCTCCTGCCTCAACCTCCCGAGTAGCTGGGACATGGTAGCAGGTTCATGCCACTATGCCCAGCTAGTTTTTGTACTTTTTAGTAGAGACAGAGTTTCACCATATTGGTCAGGTTGGTCTTGAACTCTTGACCTTGTGATTACCCACCTCACCCTCCGAAAGTGCTGGGATTACAGGTGTGAGCCCGGCCTTGCCCACTTTTTAATGGGATTTTTTTTTTTTGGCTCGTAAATTTGTTTAAGTTCTTTGTAGATTCTAGATATTAGACCATTGACAGAAGGATAGATTGAAAAAATTTTCTCCCATTCTGTAGGTTGTCTATTCACTCTAATGATAGTTTCGTTTGCTGTGCAGAAGCTCTTTAGTTTAATTAGATCCCATTTGTCAATTTTTGCTTTTGTTGTAATTGCTTTTGGTGTTTTTATCATGAATCTTTTCCCATGCCTATGTCCTGAATGGTAGTGCCTAGATTTTCTTCTAGGGTTTTTATAGTTTTGGTTTTACATTTAAGTCTTTAATTCAACTTGAGCTAATTTTTGTAGAAGGTGTAAGGAAGGGGTGCAGTTTCAATTTTCTGCATATGATTAGCCAGTTTTCCCACCACCATTTATTAAATAGGGAATCCTTTCTCCATTGCTTGTTTTTGTCAGGTTGGTTGAAGATCAGATTATTGTAGATGTGCAGTCTTATTTCTGATACCTCTATTCTTCCATTGGTGTATGTGTCTGTTTTTGTACCAGAACCATGCTGTTTTGGTATTTTGTAGGTCTCTAAGAACTTGTTTCATGAAGCTGCATGCTTCTGTTTGGGGTGAATATCTATTTAGGGTAGTTAGTTCTTCTTATTGAATTGATCTCTTTACCATTATGTAATGTCCTTTTTGTCTTTTTTGATCTTTGTTTGTTTGAAGTCTGTTTTGTCAGAAACTAGTATTGCAACCCCTGTCAATTTCTGCTTTCCATTTGCTTAGTAAATTTTTCTCCATCCCTTTATTTTGAGCCTATGTATGTCTTTGCATGAGAGGTGTGTCTCTTGAATACAGCACAGAAATGTGTCTTGACTCTTTATCCAGTTTGCCATTCTGTGTCTTTTAATTGGGACATTTATTTCATTTACATTTAAGGTTAATATTGTTATGTGTGAATTTGATCATGTCATCATGATGTTAGCTCATTATTTTGCAGACTTGTTGATGTAGTTGTTTCGTAGTGTTGTTGTTCTGTGTACTTCAGTGTGTTTTTGCAGTGGCTGATAATGGTTTTTCCTTTCCACATTTAGTGTTTTCTTCAGGAGCTCTTACAAGGCAAACATAGGGCCACAAATTCCCTCAGCATTGGCTTGTCTGGAAAGGATTTTATTTCTCCTTTGCTTATGAAGTTTAGTTTGGCTGGATATGAAATTCTGGTTGGAAATTCTTTTTTTTAAAGAATGTTGATATTGGCTCACAATCTCTCCTGACTTGTAGGGTTTCCTGCGAGAGGTCTGCTGTTAGTCTGATGGGCTTCTTTTTGTAGGTGACCCTATCTTTCTTTCTGGCTGCCCTTACAATTTTTTCCTTCTTTTTGACTTTGGAGAATCTGAAGATTATGTGTGTTGGTGTTAATCTTCTCATGGAGTATCTTACTGAGGTTCTCTGAATTTCCTGAATTTGAATGTTGGCTTGTCTTGCTAGGTTGGGGAAGTTCTCCTGGATAATATCTTAAAGTAAGTTTTTTAACTTGGTTCTGTTCTCCCTGTCTCTGTCAGGTATCCCAATCAGTCATAGGTTTAATCTTTTTTACATAATCCCATAGTTCTCGGAGGTTTTGTTTATTTCTTTTCATTCTTTTTTCTTTAATCTTGTCTGCCTGTCTTACTTTAGCAAGATAGTGTTTAAGCTCTGAAATTCTTTCCTCTGTTTGGTCTATTTGGTTATTGATATTTGTGGTTGCATTGTGAAGTTCTCGTTTTGTGTTTCTCAGCTCCTTCCAGTCATTTATGTTCCACTCTAAACTGATTATGATTAATAGCTTCTGTAATGTTTTATCATGGTTCTTAGCTTCTTTGCATTGAGTTAGAACATACTCCTTTAGTTCAGCAAAGTCTGTTATTACTTACCTTCTGAAGCCTACTTCCATCTAGCCATCCATCTCAGCCTCTGCCCTGTTCTGTGCCCTTGCAGGAAAGGTGTTTGATCCTTTGGAGGAGAAAAGGCACTCTGGCTTTTTGAATTTTGGCATTTTTTTCATGGATTCTTATCTTTGTGAGTTTATTTAGCTTCAATCTTTGAGGCTGCTGACCTTTGGATGGGGTTTTCGTGGGAATTTTTTTATTGATGCTGTGTTGTTGTTGCTTTTTGTATGTTTGTTTTTCTTTTAACAGTCAGGCCCTTCTTCAGTAGGGCTGCTGCAGTTTGCTGGGGTGAACTCCAGACCTGAATTTCCTGGGTCTCTCCTGCACCCGGAGATGTCACCAGTGGAGGCTGCAGAAGAGAAAAGATGACTGCCTCTTCTTCTGGGATCTCTGTCCCACAGGGACTCTGACCTGGTGCTGGTGGAAATGCTTCTATACAAGGTGTCTGGTGACCCCTGTTGAGGTGTCTCACCCAGTCAGGAGGCATGGGATCTGGGACCCACTTAATAAAGTGCTTTGCCTCCCCCTTGGTGGAGGGAGTGTGCTGCACTGGGGGGAATCCCACTCGTCTGGACTGCCCAGATTCCTCAGAGTCAGCAGGACAAAAGACTAAGTCTGCTTGTTTGCAGAGACCACAGCCACTCCTCCCCGCAAGGGCTCAGTCCCAGGGAGATCAGAATTCCTCCCTAATCCATGGCTAGAGTTGCTAAAATTCCTGCAGGGAGGCCTCACCCAGTGAGGAGGAATGGGTCAGCGTCCTGTCTGAAGAGGCAATCTGGCAGGCTGGGCGTGGTGGCTCACGTCTGTAATCCCAACACTTTGGGAGGCCGAGGCGGGTGGATCACGAGGTCAGGATCAAGACCATCCTGGCTAACACGGTGAAACCCCGTCTCTACTAAAAATAAAAAATATTAGCTGGGCATGGAGGTGGGCGCCTGTAGTCCCAGCTACTCGGGAGGTTGAGGCAGGAGAATGGTGTGAACCTGGGAGGCAGAGCTCGCAGTGAGCCGAGATCGCACCACTGCACTCCAGCCTGGGCGCAAGACTCCGTCCCCACCGCCCCCCAAAAAAGGCAGTCTGGCCATGATCTGCCACAGCCACTGTGATGCACTGTTGGGAATTCCTCCTGGGTGCTAACCAACTAGTCTCCCTAGCACCGGCAGGGGAAAGACAGCAGATTGGAGCTGCAGTGATGGCTGCTGCCCCTCCTCCTAGGAACGTGGTAGTCTTAGGCGATCTCCAGATGAGCGGTCCCTGAGAATCTGCACAGCTCTGTGCTTGGGACCCAAGGCCTTGGTGGCATGAGCTCATGAGGGGGATCTCTTGATCCACAGGTTGCACAGATCTGTGGAAAAAATGTGGTTTCCTGGGCATGGTAGCATCATCACTCACCGCCTCTCTTTGCTGTGGGTGGGAGCTCCCCTTGCTCTGTGGGGCTCCCAGGTGGGCCATCATATCACCTTACTTTTCTTTGCTCTCCACAGGTCACGCCAAATGCCTAGTCAACCCTAATGAGAGAACCTAGATACCTCACCTGCCGATGCAGCATTCACTTGCCATTTTCTTTCTTCTTGGTGGGCGTTTCCGACCATAGCTGTTTCTAGTTGGCCATCTTGGCACCCCACCTCTTAATACTGTCACAATTACAATAGAATTTGAACATGAGTCTTGATACGAATATTCAAACCATAACATCCAGTCTACTGAAGAGGCCATTAAAGGTATTCTTTACTTATTTTATATTTTTGATTATTAGCATTTTTTATTGATTATTTTTTAGAGTTGTAATTGCTGTGCTTACATTGCCCGTATGATTTTACATGTATACTTTTTCCATTAGAGTCCTTAATACATTAATCATTGTTATTTTAAAAATTTAATGTCTGCTAATTTCAAAATCTGTGTCATGACTGAATCAGATGCTGGTGATTACTTTGTCTCATCATACTATCTTTTCCTGTCTTTTATCATACCTTGTGATTTTTTTGTAGAAAGCTAGACATGATGTATTTGGTAATAGGAACCTAGGTAAGTCAGGCTTTAGTGAAAGGTTTTATGTGTTTCTGGCTATAATTAGGCTTTTGTTTAATATTTTCTGTAGTTGTACGTGTCCGAGTCTTCAAATTCCTCTAGGGTCCTTGATTTTGTTTCCTCTGTTGTCTTTGGATTTCCCTAAGAATTCCGTTTTAAACAGTCTGTGCTGTGCAGCAAATCCCAGTTTCAATCCACATTTATTTTACTAGAGACCTGTTGCTTAAGTCTCAAGGTATGGAAAAGGGGGCACTTTCTATAATCTTATATCAAATTTTAGTCTTTTAATGAGCCTGCATCCCTGGGCTGTGACTTTGATAAGTCTTTCTTAGTTCCTCCAAATTCGTTCAGTGAATCAGGAAAACTAGAGGGCAGCCTTCTTTTCCTCAGGCCAGATAAGGCCCTGCTAATGTCTTTCCCTATGCAAAGCAGACTGTTTTTATGGACAATTCTCTGAATATATTTCAAAGTAGTTACTTCTCTGCTCCTGTGCCAGAAACATGGAGCAGTTTTTTTCAGGTCTTCACCCTAATAACCTGGTCAGGTCCTAGAAGTAAAACCCACAAATGTGATGATGTCTCCTAAAACTGGGCTAAAAGGAGTTTCTCACTTTTAAGGTAAAGCACGCTGGTTTTCCAGTAATTCCTCAAAATTGTAATGTAAGTGTTCCTATCAGTTTAAAGCTTCAGTAGCTCCTGCCCCATGTAAGGTGATCTCGGCTGTGATTTTCTTTGTTTGTGTATCTTTCAGATTTGTTCTGTTACATAAAATCTCAAATGAGTCTAAAAAAAGTTATTAATTTTCAGTTTTTCAGCTTTTTTTCCTTGTCAAGATAACATTGAGGCCTTACAACTCTTTAAATGTTGGAGCTGTAACAAAAAAAAAGTTATCATTTCTTATATGTTTACTTCGTGATAATTTATGGAGCTGTATATTTAGTAGTTGGGAGCTTTTGAGTATACATTATTTTAATAAAAGGTTTAATATCACTAAAATATAATATATATTCACTAGTAAATTTATAATTTATAAAACTGGGCCAGGCACGGTGGCTCATGCCTGTAATCCCAGCACTTTGGGAGGCCGAGGCGGGTGGACCAAGAGGTCAGGAGTTCAAGACCAGTCTGGCCAATATGGAGAAACCCTGTTTCTACTAAAAATACAAAAATTAGCTGGGTGTGGTGGCATGTGCCTGTAGTCCCAGCTACTCGGGAGGCTGAGGCAGAAGAAACACTTGAACCCGTGAGGCGGAGGTTGCAGTGAGCTGAGATTGCACCACTGCACTTCAACCTGGGTGACAGAGCAACACTCTGTCTCCAAAACAAACAAACAAACAAACAAACAAAACCTGACAGTACCAAGCATTGCCAAGGATAAAAAAAATTGAAATTTTGAAACACTGTTGGTGGAAATTTAAATTCATAAAAAATTCATCATCTATCGCAATAAATATCCACATACTATTAATAAATTATATAACTCTCCTATGTATTCATACATAAAAAATAGTGTACCTGTACATCAGAAGACTTCAAAGAAGGTTCAAAACAACATAGCTCCTAATATCTAGGATATAAAAGGAGCCTAAATGCGTATAAACTGTAAAATTAATAAACAAATCCTGACATAGCTATAGAATGTGATGTTGTATAATAATGAAAATGGAAAAAAAAACTATAGATACAGGTTAATCTTACAAATGTAACAATTAACAAAGTAAAACAGTCGTGAAATAATACATTCTGTAATATTCCATGTATGTAAAGTTTTTAAAAATATAAAAAAAAACCTGAAGGATAGAAATGCAAATGATAGTTAAGGTAGGGGATGAGGAGGAGCACAATGATAGAAAGTAGGCACAGGGTGTCGGCTGAGATCCTGTCGGGGTTGTATTCCTTGATCTAATTGGTGGATAAACTGTATGTCAATATTGTGACAATACATAAAACTGTCTATTTCAGTATTGTGTGCTTTTCTGCATATGTTTTAACCTTCAAAAAATAAGATGAGAAGCTCATTTAAAAATCACTTCTAAAAATGCAAAAGGAAAAATTTCATAGCAGACGACAGTGCATTTTAATCCTTTTCATAAGTCCAGTGATTAATGGGTCTATAAGATACATTATGGAGACCTCACATATAGCTGAGGGGAAATTAATGGATAAAGAATTTCTAAATGCATGGGGGGCAAAAAGCACAGAGACAGCGGAATACAAGTTAGCATAACTGATTTGGCTATGTACACACTGGTAATTTTTAGAGAAATTTAGGTTTTAAATGTAAGATAAATGCAGTCATTAAGTCATTTTAAGGAGAGATTGCATTTTTGTCTGCTTGTTTGTTTTGCAATGAACTTGAACGAACATTGTAAGTAACTTGCTTCATAAACTGAGTAAAAGTGACAAACTACTTAATTTAAGAATTTAATTATTGGTTGGGCGCAGTCACTGACCATTTGGAAGACCAAGGCGGGAAGATTACTTGAGGTCAGGAGTTCGAGGCCAGCCTGGCCAACATGGTGAAACCCTGTCTCTACCAAAAATACAACACTTAGCCAGGTGTGTTGGCACATGCCTGTAGTCACAACTACTCGGGAGGCTGAGGCAGGAGAATCGCTTGAACCCAGAAGGCGGAGGTTGCAGTGAGCAGAGATGGTGCCACTGCACAACAGCCTTTTTAGACTCTGTCTCAAAAAAAGAAAAAAGAAAAAAGTTACTTATCATGATAGTTCAAGATGATGCTTTGTCTTGGATACTTTTACACATGTAAAGTCAAATGAGAGAATTTAAGTTATTTGGGGAATTATTTTAAAAGCCATATTGTTCCCCTTATCAAATACTCCTAAAACCTACTAAAACCTAAGTGCCACTTTCTTAGATTTTCCAGAACACTCTAAGCATTTATAACAGTAGTTAGTACAACGTTCTGTAAATATTGGTTTAGGGGTTAGTCTCTTCAGTTTAGTAACATTTCATTAACCACCATGAATGGCATAGTGTATATTTTTCATTTGTATTCCACAAAAATTTGTAAAATAAACATCCAATAAAAAATATTCTATTTGACTTCATTTTCATCCAGGGTCTTGTTGATTCTCTCACTATTCAGTTTTACTGATAAGAAATTTAAGTTTAAGGTCTCTCCCATTTGTTCCATTAATTAGACTTTTTTAGGAAAATATGTTCAAATTGACAAGTGCAATAATGGAATAGAAAAGGTATGTAATCAGCATTTTTCTATTAACTCGATCATCTTTTATCATAAAAGAAGTTATTTTCTCACAATCATTAAATTATATTAATTCAAAAAATACGAGAGGCTGCACTGTCCATTTGAAACATTTCATCTTAGCATATAGTCTAGGGACTAAGGCAATACAGAGATCACTTGTATACTTAAGTGGTGTGGTGGTAAATGGTTAACAATCAGTTCTCCAGTGGGAGATTCATAGCATCTGCTGCTTTATAAACTACCCCCAAAGTTGCTGATTTAAAGCTATTCATGTGATTTTTTTTTTTTTTTTTTTGACAGAGTCTTGCTCTGTTGCCCAGGCTGGAGTACAGTGGCATAATCTCAGCTCACTGCAACCTCTGTCTTCCAGGTTCAAGCAATTCTCCTGCCTCAGCCTCCCGAGTATCTGGGACTACAGGTGTGTGCCACCACACCCAGCTAATTTTTCTATTTTTAGTAGAGACAGGGTTACACCATGTTGGCCAGGCTGGTCTCAAACTCCCGATCTTAAGTGATCTACCTACCTAGGCCTCCCAAAGTGCTGGGATTCAGGCATGCACCACCACGCCCAGCCTATTCATGTGATTTCATAGAATACAGAGTTGAGATGATAGAGGGAAAATTGCTCTTCAGAGGACACCACTCCAGCCTACCACTATCTATCTATATATATTTTTTAAAGTCACAGGTAGGGTGATAGATAAAATAAATCTCTGTTACATTTTTCCACTTTAGATTTCACATTAAATGACAGTAAAAAATTTCACATTATATTTTTAAAATCATGTTTCTGTGAAACTAATAGTTAAAGTTCATTTCAGAAGGATTGTCATACTAAATCACTTACATTCTTTTAACAATTTCAAGTTTGTTTGACAAAGGGGCAAATGGTCTGAAGTGAGAAAAGAGTCTACATATTACATAAGGGCGTATGTAAAAAAAAATGGAAAATAGCCTCAGAAAAGCAAAATGCTTCCGTAGTCTTTGCCTTCAACTACTCTTTTCATAGCTGTAGCTTTGTTTCAAATATCTTACATGAGTAGTTTAGGATATAAATAAATTTAAATGACAAAATACCATTTTAGTATGGATTGTGCCTGGGTTTACATTTTTATTACTGTTCTTCATTGTCCAGTGTAGTACATAAACATATATTTTAATATGCATTTGACAAAATAACTTTAATGTAGAGATATTTTGAAATGATTTAAAGACTTTGTTTTTAACTAAGAATGCTATATGTAGGCATACAAAGTGTTTTCATTAAGAAATAGAACATTCCCACATCTTTTATTATACAGAGTTTGCAAATTTTCAGTTGCTCTGCGTTCTCCAATGGGATAAACTCACTTTTTGGTGGCTTCTTGTGTACAATGCATTTCTACGGGAAAGAGATGTATTTTGAGGGAGATACTCTAGGATTAACTGCAAAGTAGTAAATTTCCTTCATAAAAATTTGAAAACTCCCATAGCACTTCTTGAGTAATATGACCTTAAAGCTAAATGCAAAATATTTCACAGTTTTGAATAAAACGAAGAAAGAGTATTTGATTGGCTCTCTTAAAGTATCAGTTATTCTAATATAATTGTATAGTCATTTCATAGTTTTGACCATTTATATACATTATTTATTAGGTTTCTTCAAATTATTTAGTTCAATCAGTTTGGAGATTTAGTTTGTGCTAGCACTGGGCTAGGTTCTAGGAATGAGTTCCCATAACAGCAATAGGTGATTTCAGGCAGAGGAAACAATGTATCCTTAAAAAAATTATGAAACAACATGATGTGCCAAAAAGAATTAGCACTGGGCACAAATTCCAATACACTAACATTTAGAAAACTCCGTCTCTGTCATATTAGTTACATGTTCTAACTAAGGAAAATTGCACACATGAGAAATGAGTAATCATCTAAAGACAACAGGCCAAACTGATAATTAAGTGAATAATTTGTGTAATAAGGTAAATTTATTTAAGGGATTTGATTACCCATATTCATTATCTGCATTTGTGAAGTGCTCTACTTTCAATTCTGCTTTAAATAATGGAGACATCATTTTAACATAATTAAGATGTTACAATTATCTGTGTTATAGATTTTGATGTTTCAGTGTTACATAATTTTAGTTTCTTATAGCAATTATTCTTAGCTTTTCTGAATATTAACATATGTTTCTCTATGATATTTTGAGTACCAATCTATATTTTTTCTCTCTTATTTTCCTTAGTTTTTCTTTCATTGTTCATTTTCATAGGAAAGATGAAAATATGAGATAGAACAAAAATCACATGTAGCTGATGAGTCTTTGTATTTACTTCCCATATCCTAAATTTCATGGGGGGTATTTATAAGATTTTAGAAAAAAAGAAAAAGAAAGAGAAAGAAAGAAAGAGAGAGAGAAAAAGAAAGAAAGAAAAAAGAAAGAAAGAAAGAAAGGGAGGAAGAGAGATAGAGAGGGAGAGTGGGAGGGAGGGAAAGAGGAAGGAAGGAAGGAAGGAAAGAAAGAAAGAAAGGAAGAAAGAAAGAAAAGAAAGAAAGTAGTAAAAGAGAAAAAGAAAGGCAGTGACGTGGTAGGCAGATAATGTTCTGCCCCAAGTTACCCTTGTCCTAATCCCCAGATTCTGTGAATGTGCCTGTCTTATATGTGCAAAGGCACTATATGGATGTGACTAAATTAAGGATCTTGAGATGAGGTAATTATCTTGGATTATGTCTTTTTTTGAAAAGTGTCTGTTCATGTTTTTTGCTCGCTTTTCCAAAGGGGCTGTTTGTTTTTTTCTTGTAATTTTGTTTAAGTTCCTTATAGATGCTTGATATTAGACCTTTCTCAGAAACAGTTTGCAAATATTTTCTTCTATTTTGTAGGTTGTCTGTTTACTGTGTTTAGTTTCTTTTGCTGTGCAGAAGCTCTTTAATTTAATTAGATCCCATTTGTCAATTTTTGCTTTTGTTGTGATTGCTTTCAGTGCCTTTGCCGTGAAATTTTTGCCCATTCCTCTGTCCCAGTTGTTATTGCCTAGGTTGTCTCCAGGGTTTTTATAGTTTTGGGGTTTACATTTAAATCTTTAATCCATCTTGAGTTCATTTTTGTATAAAGTGTAAGGAAGGGGTCCAGCTTCAATATTCTGGTTATGACTAACCAGTTATCCCAGCACTATTAATCAAATAGGGAGTCTTTTCCCCATTGCTTGTTTTTGTTAGCTTCATTGGAGATCAGATGGTAAAAGGTGTGTGGCCTTATTTCTGGGCTCTCTGTTCTGTTCCATTGGTCTATGTGCCTGTTTTTGTACTAGTACCATGCTTTTTGGTTACTGTAGCCCTATAGTATAGTTTGAAGGTCAGTAATGTGATGCCTCCAGCTTTGTTCTTTTTGCTTAGGATTGCCTTGGCTATTCAGTCTTTTTTGTTTCTATTTGAATTTTCAAATAGATTTTTTTCTAGGTCTGTGAAGAATGTCATTTTTAGTTTAACAGGAATAGCACTGAATCTGTAAATTGCTTTGGTCAGTATGGTCATTTTAATGATATTAATTCTTCCTATCCATGAGCATGTGATTTTTTTTTTCATTTATTTGAGTCATCTCTGATTTCATTGAGAAGTGTTTTGTAATTCTCATTGTAGAGATCTTTCACCTCGCTGGTTCTCTGTATTACTAGGTATTTTGTTGTTTTTGTAGCAATTATGAATTGGATTGCCTTTCTGATTTGGCTCTTGGTTTGGCTGTTTTCTGTATAGGAATGAGACTGATTTTTGTACATTGATTTTGTATCCAGAAACCTCACTGAAGTTGTTTATCAGTTGAAGGAGTTTTTTTGCTGAGACTATGGGGTTTCCTAAATATAGAATCATGTTGTCTGTAAATAGGGATAGTTTGACTTCCTCTTTTCTTATTTGAATGTCTTTTATTTCTATCTCTTGCCTAATTGCTTTGGCTAGGATTTCCTATAACATGTTGAATAGGAATGGTGAGATTTGGTATCCTTGTCTTGTGCTGGTTTTCAAGGGGAATGCTTCCAGCTTTTGCCCATTCAGCATGATATTAACTGTCGGTTTGTCCTAGATGGCTCTTATTATTTTGAGCTAAGTTTATTCAATACCTAGTTAATTAAGAATTTTTAACATGAATGGGTGTTAAATTCTATCAAAAGCCTTTTCTGCATCTATTGAGATAATTATGTGGTGTTTGCCTTTAATTCTGTGTATGTGATAAATCACATTTATTGATTTGCATATGATGAACCAGCCTTGCATCTCAGAGATGAAGCCTATACTTGATTGTGGTGAATTAGTTTTTTGACATGCTGCTAGTTTTAGTTTGCAAGTATTTTATTAAGGATTTTTGCATTGATGTTATTCAAGGATGTTTGCTTGAAGTTTTCTTTTTTATTGTGTCTCTGCAAGGTTTTGGTATAAGAATGGTGCTGGCCTCATAGAATAACTACAAACTTTTAACATGTTTCCAACCTAAGTCACAATAACATGGAATTTGAGCTATTTTGAAACTCATAAAAAACAAAGTACATGAGAGTATTTATGTATTAAGAATATTTTAAACAATATTTGAAAATATTCTTTGATGATGAAGCTGAGGTAAATAAGTGGAAAATAAAGCAAGCATATATATATGTGTATGCATATATATATGTGTATATATATATACACACACAATATATGTATATATATACACACACATATGCCTAGTTGAATTCATTTTTTTCTTAATTATTTCCAACTTTGGCCTCTGAAGTTTTTTTTAACAAAAGATAGAACAAGATTGTTGGCATCCAATTTGCTTTACCCCGATAATTGACAATTATATTAGAACCATTAAGAATATTTCCTATGAGCTTAACATGACTTTTCACCTGGATTCAGAGAGTTAAAACATTTCAAATAATTTCTTTAGTTGCATAATTTTAGCCTTAGTCTTTCATTAATTTTAATAAGTGCTTAAATTGATTCAGCATTTGCTGAGTATTTTAATATTGAAAGAAGAAGCAATCCTGCTAATTTCAAAAGAATAACAAGACTCTCAGATTATTTTTTTTTGGAAGGGAGGATCCAATTTGCTTTTCCCTTGATGGATAGGCATATACAGATGTGCTTCAACTTACAATGATATTACATCCTGATAAAACCATTGTAAATTGAAAATATTATAATTCAAAAATACATTTAATATATCTAATCTACTGAACATCATAGCTTAGCCTGCCGTACCTTAAACATGCTCAGAACACTTACATAAGCCTGCAGTTGGGAAAAATCATCTAACATAGAGGCTATTTTATAATAAAGTGTTGGATATCTCATGTAATTTATTGAATCTTGCATGAAAGTGAAAAACAGAATGGTTGTATGGTTTCTACTAAATGCATATCACTTTTGCACTATCATAAAATAAAAAATGATAAGTTGAACCATTGTAAGTCTTGGGCCATCTGTAGCAGTTTCAATTATCCAAACTAGAGAGGAAAGGAAAAAATAATCTCAAATCATTATCTAGTGCATATTTATATGGTTTGTCTGCTAGCTATTCACATTACTGGTTGGTTATTAAGAGGTGCAGATCTCATTTTTATACTATTATAGGATATAATGGAAATATTTGCACT